>NW_025791777.1:1480839-1636026 GCF_000001405.40 Homo sapiens
CTTTCTATTTTTTTTGAGACATGGTCATCCAGGCTGGAGGGCAGTGGCGAGATCATGGCTCACTGCAGCCTCAACCTCCTGGGCTCAAGTAATCCTCCTGCCTTGGCCTCCCAAAATGCTGGGATTACAGGTGTGAGCCACTGCACCTGGCATACATCTCTTTTCTTTCCTGCATCATAAATCCTCTCCCAGTTTTCTATTCCTCCCTTAGGTGGTAAACCTTCAAATTTGAAACCTTAAGGTCTGGACTAACAATGAATACAAGTATTCTATTTGTGATAATTATCATGTCTTTTCTTTCTACACATTACTCTCCTCACCTCTTGTCCCCTGACAAAGTGCTCCTAGAAACTGTCACAGGACACTTCTGCTTATATTTCTTTAATCAGAACTTAGTTGGATGGGCCGGGCATGGTGGCTCACGCCTGTAATCCCAGCACTTTGGGAGGCCGAGGTGGGTGGATCACCTGAGGTCAGGAGTTTGAGACCAGCCTGGCCAATATGGTGAAACTCTGTCTCTACTAAAAATACAAAGAATTAGCCAGGCATGGTGGCGGGTGCCTGTAATCCCAGCTACTTGGGAGGCTGAGGCAGGAGAATCGCTTGAACCTGGGACGTGGAGGTTGCGGGGAGTCAAGATCATGCTATTGCACTCCAGCCTGGGCAACAAGAGTGAAACTCTGTCTCAAAAATAATAATAATAATAATAATTATTATTATTATTATTATTATTATTAGTCAGATGACCATACCTAGCTGTAAGAGGAGCTGGGAAACCTAATCTTTTTCCTGGGTGACAATGTGCCCAGCTAAATATTGGGATTTCTATTAGTATGGAAGGATTTGAGATAATAGGAACATGGATAGCAATCTTTGCCACATTCTGCCTGCAGGAGAAAATCAGGAAATTAATTTTCATGATTCCTAAACATGTAGAGCCTTCCACCAGATTGTGGCATTTTCTCTTTAGCTGCTGGTCATTAGGAAGCACCTCTGCAATCTATAAATGATGGGCTGGTTCCTGTCAGCTAAATCTCTGCCTGAAATACAAGATGATCAGGGAAAGGTTCCTAGGTACCTTGCTGGTCTTGCTCAAACCGAACACATGCATAAGTTACAGTGGAGGTTAATGCAGATCTTTAACTGAGAGATCAAGTAGTTGTCACAAATACCATAGAGCAACACAGAGAAGCAGAATATAGTTGTCACTCTACCTAACAGACATGTGCCATTGGAAAAAAAAAATCTGACTGCCTCACAATCTTAAGCCTTTGGAAAGAGTGTTTGCCATTTCTCCCTACTCTACTGTGTCTTCCTCTTGTCAGCCTTCCGCAAGACCCCTCTGACCAGTGTGCTCCCCCTCTTCCTTTCCAATCCTCCACCACTCCACACAAATCCTAATCATCTCTGACTGTTTTCAGATCTTGCAAGCTCTAGGATCTCATATTTCTGGGAGGCTTTCCTCTGCCCCAGCTTTCCCAGAGTGGAAGGAAGATGAGAAATGCTCTGTTTCTAGTTTGATCCTTTTGCAGAGCTAAATACCAATTTCTTTCCAAAGAAATATAATTTCACAAAGAGACTTAATCCTATTTCTGGTGTAATAAACATGGCAATAATGTGGTAAGAGGCAATTAATTCTTCATGCATTCACTTACATAAGGGCTGCTAGATTTGCTGGTATTTTTTTTTCCGTGAGCTCTAAATATATTCTTTCTGATTCATTCATTAAACGAATACTAATTGAGTGCCACATGAGTGTCAAGCACTTTTCTAGGTTCATGTCATTCATTAGTGAGCAAAAACCTCTACCCTCATAGAGCTTATTTTTATTTTTATTTTTTGAGACAGAGTTTCACTCTTGTTGCCCAGGCTGGAGTGCAATGGCGTTATCTTGGTTCACTGCAACCTCCGTCTCCTGGGTTCAAGCGATTCTTGTGCCTCAGCCTCCTGAGTAGCTGGCATTACAGGCATGTGCCACCATGCCCAGCTAATTTTTGTATTTTTAGTAGAGACAGGGTTTCACCGTGTTGGCCAGGCTGGTCTCAGACTCCTGACCTCAGGAGATCCGCTGGCCTTGGCCTCCCAAAGTGCTGGGATTACAGGCATGAGCCACTGCGCCCAGCCCCCTCATGGAGCTTCAATTCCAGATTCTGGTTGCCAATCTGTTTGTTGATCAAAGGAGAATGGGGCAGAGGGATGGTGTGCATCAAAGTGCATGGTGTGTAGGAGCATTCAATGACTACTTGCCAGTTACCCCATTGGTGGACAGAGTCTTATATAGAAAATTGCCTCACTGGTAACCAACTTCTGACTGTCACAAAACCCAACTGGAGACTGAATAGGCTTTCACTATTACAGGTCTGGTGGTTATTATCTGCATGTTAATGGACAGATGCCCATGCCAGTGGCACTGATCAAGTTTCCTTACTTTTAGGTATAAAGGACATCGTCCAGTGCTTTTCCTGTGGAGGGTGTTTAGAGAAATGGCAGGAAGGTGATGACCCATTAGACGATCACACCAGATGTTTTCCCAAGTGAGTGGAATGAATGTTAACCATCTGCAACTTTGGATGCACTTCAACAGTTTTTTTCTTTTTCCTCATTTCCTGCCTTATTTTATCTTTAGATTGAGTCTTTATCCACTCCTCGGATTCAGGCTATGAAGGATGAGTCTTCATGTCTTTCATCCCTTTGCTCCATGACCCCCTTCCTGTACTAGCCTTCCCCTCTTTATAGTTATGGCATAGTTTTGGCTAGATTCATATATTCACATTACATGTTTACATTATCATGACTATACAAATGCTATGTGGAGCTGAAGCTTGTGGTAAATTTTTATTTATTTTCCCTTCCTGTATATCCTTTTATTTTTTTAGGAAGTAATAACTGTCCTGTTGGTATGTTAGCTTATTTTTTTTTCCTGAGGTAAAATTCAGGTAGTAACCATTTTATTTATTTATTTATTATTTTTTGTGACAGGTTCTCTCTCTTGCCCAGGTTGGAGTGCAGTGGTGCAATCATGGCTCACTGCAGCCTTGACCTCTCTGGCTCAAGCAATCTTCCTCGCTCAGCCTCCCAAGTAGCTGGGACTACAGGCACATGTCTTCACACCCAGCTAATTTTTTTTTTTTTTTTTTAAGAGACAGGGTCTCTCTATGTTGCCCAGGCTGCTCTCAGACTTCTAGGCTCAAGCAGTCTTCCCATCCTGGCTTCCCAAAGTGCTGGGATTATAGGCGTGAGCCACCATGCACAGCAATTAAACCATTTTAGAGTACACAATTCTGTGGCATTTATTATAGTACATTCACAATGTTGTGCAACCACCCCCTCTATCTAGTTCCAAAACACTTT
Organism: Homo sapiens; assembly: GCF_000001405.40. NCBI lineage: Eukaryota > Metazoa > Chordata > Mammalia > Primates > Hominidae > Homo > Homo sapiens. The sequence goes on from NW_025791777.1 coordinate 1,484,191, forward strand.
CATCGCCCCCAAAGAAAACTCTGTATCCATCAAGCAGGCCCCCCTCCTCTCTCCACCCCACTCCATGCCCAGCCCCTGGGATACACCAACCTAATTGGTGTCTATGGATTTATTTGTTCTGACTATTTCCTCTAAATGGAAGCATACCGTTTGACCTTTTGCATTTGGATTCTTTCACTTGGCATATTGTTTTGAAGTTTATCCATGTTGTAGCTTGCATAAGTACTTCCTTCCTTTTGAGACCAAGTAATATTCCATATGGATACACTGCATTTTATTTATCCATTCATCTATTTGTAGATATTTGGGTTGTTTCTACCTTTTGGCTACCATGAGTAATACCGATAGGAACATTTGGGTACAGGTATCTGATGGAGCATGTAACTGTATTCAAGTCTCTGGGGCATATACCTAACAACGATATTGCTAGCTGTATAGTAATTCTATGTTTTTACTTTTTTTTTTTTTTTCTCACACAGAGTCTCACTCTGTCGCTCAGGCTGGAGTGCAGCGGTGCGATCTCAGCTCACTGCAACCTCCGCCTCCCAGGTTCAAGCAATTTTCCTGCCTCAGTCTCCTGAGTAGCTGGGATTACAGGTGTCTGCCACCATGCCCGGCTAATTTTTTGTATTTTTAGGGTTTCACCATGTTGGCTAGGCTGGTCTCAAACTCCTGACCTCAAGTGATCCACCTGGCTTGGCCTCCCAAAGTGCTGGAATTACAAGCGTGAGCCACAGCGCCTGGCCTGTTTTAACTTTTTGAGGAAATGCTAAACTGTTTTTTCCACAGTGCTTGCACCATTTTAAATTCCCACCAACAACAATGTTGTGCAACCACCCCCTCTATCTAGTTCCAAAACACTTTCATCGCCCCCAAAGAAAACTCTGTATCCACTAAGCAGGCCCTCCTTCTCTCTCCACCCCACTCCATGCCCAGCCCCTGGGATACACCAACCTAATTGGTGTCTATGGATTTATTTGTTCTGACTATTTCCTCTAAATGGAAGCATACAGTTTGACCAACAATGTATGAGGTTTCCCATTTCTCATCAACACTTTTCTATTTTTAAAAAAATTATAGCCATCTGCTTAATTTTTTTTTTTTTTTTTTTTTTTTTTTTGAGATGGAGTCTCACTTTGTCGCCCAGGCTGGAGTGCAATGGCGTGATCTCACTCACTGCAACCTCCGCCTCCTGGGTTCATGCCATTCTCCTGCCTCAGCCTCCCGAGTAGCTGGGACTACAGGCACCTGCCATCATGCCCGGCTAATTTATTTTTTATTTATTTTTTTAGTAGAGACGGGGTTTCACCGTGTTAGCCAGGATGGTCTCCATCTCCTGACCTTGTGATCCACCCGCCTCAGCCTCCCAAAGTGCTCTGATTACAGGCGTGAGCCACCGCGCCCGGCCAGCCATCTGCTTAATTTTTATGTACATTGCTTATTTTTGTTTCTTGAGATAAAATTCATGTATTAATAATTTTATTTATTTAAATGAAATAAATGAAGACGAACACCAGCTCATCTTCAACTTATCCCAAATGTTTAAATCTCCTCTTAAGTCATTCAGACCTACCAGATATCTCATCATTTTCATTTCTTGAAAGAGTCATCATTTTTTTTTTCTTTTTCTTTTTTTTTTGAGACGGAGTCTGGCTCTGTCACCCAGGCTGGAGTGCAGTGGCATGATCTCGGCTCACTGCAGACTCTGCCTCCCAGGTTCAAGCAATTCTTCCTGCCTCAGCATCCCAAGTAGCTGGGACTACAGGCATGCACCACTATGCCTGGCTAATTTTTGTATTTTTAATAGAGATGGAGTTTTGCCACGTTGGCCAGGCTAGTTTCAAACTCCTGACCTCAAGTGATCCGCCTGCCTCAGCCTCCCAAAGTGCTGGTATTACAGGCGTGAGCCACTGCGGCTGGTCCATTTTCATCTTGAAATGAGTTTCCCTGGAAGTCTTCTGGCCTGCTGGATTATGAACAACTTGTCCTATAATCATCCTGGGATCCAGGGATCTTTCTTCACAGGCATCCTGGAGATTATCTCCTCTGTTGTATCTCCTGGATCTAATGTCATCCTCTTCTTGGTTCACTCGCTCATTTTGTTGGAACACTTCATCGGAGTTCCCTGGGAAAGACTGCATAAGAAATACACACTTTTAGTTGCATATAATGCATATACAGACATATAGATCTATCTAGATATATGTTTTTCCTGTATTCTCACACTTATTTGATAGTTTAGCTAGGTGTAGAATTATAGGTTGGAAGTCATTTTAATTCTAAATTGTAGAGGCACTGCTACATTTCTACTGGTTCCTAATGTGCTGTCGAGAAGTTCCATGCCTTTCTGCTTGTCAATCCTTTTACTGCAAACAAAATTTTTTTTTTTCCTGTGCTGGAAGCTTTCAGAAAAATATCTGTTCTAAAATTTTATGAAGAAATATTTCTTTTCTATGAATCTTTAAACTTAATTTTTTTTTACCCATCAAACTCTTTAGAAATGTTTAATTGCAAGAAGAAATTTGTGTTTTCACTATGTAATTAGTAAGAGTTTTTTTTTTAGAAATGAATATGAACACATACAGATTTTAAAATGAATGCTTCCTGCTCATTTGTATAGTGGTAAAAACAAAAATAAAACAAAATGAATACTTCTATCTAATTTTATTGCCTTGAAGGTATTTTGATAGCAGTAGTTACCTCATTTTTCTTTCTTATTTGGGCTTAGTGTATAATAAATTATTGAGAACAATGGGGACATTCTACTTAATTCTTGGAAGGATAAGCTAGGATGCAGTCTAGTCTTATTTAGAACTTACTCTGGAATCGATCAACTCCCTTTTATACTATTATTATTATTATTAGTTTTAGTGTTTTGTTGTTGTTGTTTTTGAGATGGAGTCTCACTCTGTCACCCAGGCTGGAGTGCAGTGGCGTGATCTCGGCTCACTGCAACCTCCGCCTCCCGGGTTCAAGCGATTCTCCTGCCTCAGCCTCCCAAGTAGCTGGGATTACAGGTACCTCCCCACCATGCCTGGCTAATTTTTTGTACTTTTAGTAGAGACGGGGTTTCACCATGTTGGCCAGGCTGGTCTTGAACTCCTGACCTCAAGTGATCCTCCTGCCTCAGCCTCCCAAAGTGCTGGGATTACAGGTGTGAGCCGCCACACCTGGCCTTTAGTGTTTTTTTGTTAAGAGACTGGGTCTCGGCTCTGTCACCCAGGCTGGAGCAAGTGCAGTGGTACAATCCTAGCTGACTGTAGCCTCAAATTCCTGGGCTCAAGTGATCCTCCCACCTCAGCCTCCCAAGTAGCTAGGACTACAAGCATGTGTCACCATGCCCGACTAATTTTTTAAAGTTTTTTTTTGTAGAGATGGGGTCTTGCTTTGTTGCCCAGGCTGGTCTCAAACTCCTGGCTCCAAATGATCCTTCTGCTTCAGCCTCCCAAAGTACTTGGATTACAGGCATGAGCCACTGCTCCCAGCCAACTCCTTTTTGGATTTTTACTCTTCCTTTGCCTCTTAAAAAAACTGCAAACCAGTATGTCTCCAAATGATTACCTAAAATTTTTATGTATGCTTTAAAGAATGAATAAAAAGCAACCTATGAACCTCCTAGTAAAGTCAAGAAATTGGACATTATCAATGCCTTAAAAGACCCCTGCGGCCGGGTGCAGTGACTCACGCCTGTAATCTCAGCACTTTGGGAGGCCGATGTGGGCAGATTGTCTGAGCTCAAGAGTTCGAGACCAGCCTGGGCAACATGGTGAAACCCCATCTCTGTTAAAAAACAGAAAAATTTAACCGGGCCTGGTGACACACGCCTGTAGTCCCAGCTATTAGGGAGGCTGAGGCAGGAGAATGGCTTGAACCTGGGAGGCGGAAGTTGCAGTGAGCCAAGATGGCGCCATTGCACTCCTGGGCGACAGAGCGTGACTCTGTCTCAAAAAAAAAAAATCAAAAAACAAAAAACAACTCTGCATGCCAACCACCCCCTAATTCTGATTATATCCCTGTCCCTCCAATCCAGAGGTAAATGTGATGCTCAGTTTGGGTTAATTATTCCCTTGCTTCTCTTTGTGGTTTTACCAACTACATATACATCCTTAAACATATTTAGCTTTGTCTATTCTTGAAGTTCAAATAAGAAGCATACTGCATGATTCTTCTTGTAATTGGCTGGTTTTACTCCACGATGTTTTTGAGATTCATCCATATTTATATGTACTACACAGTTGTAGTTCACTTGTTTTCATTGGTAAATAGTGTATTATTTTATGAATATATAATAACTTATTTTACTGTTGATTAACCTCGTGGGTCGTTTTCAGAGTGTTGCAAATTCAAATAATGCCCTATGAACATTCTTGTACATATTTTCCAGTGCTCATGTGTGTTTCTCTAGGATACATAACAAAGTAAAGAATTGCAGAGTCATAGAACTTTGCGGGTGTTCAACTCCACTAGATAATGCAAAGCTTTTTCCCAAGTGGTTGCACTGATTTACATTCCCATTGGCCTAGATGCGTTTCTATTGATTTGCTTCCTCACTAACTTGGTATTGCCCAAATTTTAATTTTTGTCAGTGTAATTACTAATAATGTTAAGCTTATTTTCTTCTTCTTTTTTTCTTTCTTTTTTTTTTTTTGAGACGGAGTTTCACTCTTGTTGCCCAGGCTGGAGTGCAATGGCACGATCTCGGCTCACCACAACCTCCGCCTCCCAGGTTCAAGTGATTCTCCTGCCTCAGCCTCCCGAGTAGCTGGGATTACAGGCATGTGCCACCACGCCCAGCTAATTTTGTATTTTTAGTAGAGATGGGGTTTCTCCATGTTGGTCAGGCTGGTCTCGGACTCCCAACCTCAGGTGATCCACCCACCTCAGCCTCCCAAAGTGCTGGGATTACAGGTGTGAGCCACCGCGCCCGGCAGTTGAGCTTATTTTCATATTTTCCTGCAGAATAGTCTTGTTCTTTCTCTTCAAGAGTGTGTCTTAGCTATTTTTTTGCCCTTTGGTCTTTCATATTCCAGAGAATATATTAAATATCCCAAGCAGGCATGGTGGTTCACACCTATAATCCCAGCACTTTGGGAGGCTGAGGTGGGAGGAGTGCACAAGGCGAGGAGTTTGAGACTAGCCTTTGCAACATAGCTAGACTCCATTTCTACAAAAAATTTTTAAAACAAACAGGGTGTGGTAGCATGCATCTGTAGTCCCAGCTACCTGGGAGGCAGAGGCAGGAGAATCGCTTGAGCTCAGGAGTATAGGTTGCAATGAGCTATGATTGTGCCACTGTACTGTGGCCTGGGTGACAGAGTAAAACTTTGTCTCTAAAAAACAGAAATATCCCTCTTTATCCTTGATAGTATTTTTTAGGCCTTTATTAGTTTTTTCATGTTACATCTTTTAGATTATTTTCTTTTTAATCTATCTGTGACTATATTTAAAGTCAATTCTTGTTTTTTCCTTTTCCTTTTTGTGGGTAACGGGGTCTCACTATGTTGCCCAGGCAGATCTCAAACTCCTGGGCTCAAGCTGTCCTCCCACCTCTGCCACCCTAAGTGTTGAGATTACAGGCATGAGCCACTGCACCCAGCCTTAAAGTGAATTGTTATAGGCAACAACACAGTGGGGTCTTTTATTTTATTTTTTATTTGTTTATGAGACAGACTCGCTCTGTTGCCTACGCTGGAGTGCAGTGGTGCAGTCTTGACTCACTGCAGCCTGGACTTCCCAGGCTCAAGCAATCCTCCCACCTCAGACTCCTGAGTAGCTGGGACTACAGGCACATGCCACCAAGCCTGGCTAAGTTTGTTAGTTTTTTATAGAGACAAGGTCTCACTATGTTGCCCAGTCTGATCTCGAACACCTAGCCACAAGCAATTCTCCTGCCTTGTCTTCCCAGAGTGCTGGGATTACAGGTGTGGACCACTGAACCCAGCAGGTCTTGCTTTTTTTTTGAGATGGAGGTGTGAGCCACCACATCCAGCCAGGTTTTCTCTTTTTTTTTTTTTTTGAGACGGAGTCTTGCTCTGTCGCCCAGGCTGGAGTGCAGTGGCACGATCTTGGCTCACTGCAAGCTCCGCCTCCTGGGTTCACACCATTCTCCTGCCTCAGCCTCGCGAGTAGCTGGGACTACAGGCACCCCGCCACCACACCTGGCTAATTTTTTGTATTTTTAGTAGAGACGGGGTTTCACCGTGTTAGCCAGGATGGTCTCGATCTCCTGACCTCATGATCCACCTGCCTTGGCCTCCCAAAGTGCTGGGATTACAGGCGTAAGCCACCACGCCTGGCCAGGTCTTGCTTTTTAAGAGTCTGACAATAACTGCTTTCTAATTGGAATGTTTAGAACGTTTAAATTTAATGCAATTATGAATATGGTTGGATTTAAACCTATTTTACCATTTGCTTTCTATTTATTTCATCACTTCTTTGTTTCTTTTTCTTTTCCTGACTTCCTAGGGTTTAGGGTTTTTTTTTTTTTCTTTTTTCTACCCCCTCCTTGAGTATTTTTTTTTGTACTCCATTTTATTTCTGTCAGCTTATTAGCTATTAATCCTTATTTTACCTTTTTACTACTTGCTCTAGAGTTTACCATATGCCTATTTAACATATCATAGTAATCTTCAAAAATATTATAACAGCTGGGTGCAGTGGCTCATGCCTGTAATCCCGGTAATTTGGGAGGCTGAGGCAGGCAGATCACTTGAGGTCAAGAGTTCCAGAGCAACCTGGGCAACATGGTGAAACCCCGTCTCTACTAAAAATACAAAAAAATTAGCTGGGTGTGGTGGCGCACACCTGTAATCCCAGCTGCTTGGGAGGCTGAGGCACGAGAATTGCTTGAACCCAGGAAGCAGACGCTGCAGAAAGCTGAGATCGTGCCACTGCACTCCAGCCTGGGTGACACAGTGAGACTCTGGGTCAAAAAAATATATAACACTTGACATAAAATGTATGAACCATACAATAGTATATTTCCATTTCTCCCCTCTCATCCTTTGTGCTATTGTCATACATTTTATTTCCATGTACTTTAATAAATCTTACAATATAATGTTATATCTTTGCTTTAAACAATTTAAGTACATTTTTACAACGGCAAAAGTCTTTCATATTTGCCCTCTTAGTTATCTTATCATTCCTGGTACTTTTCATTCCTTTGAGTAGAACCAAATTTCCATCTGCTATCATTTTCCTTTTAAATGATGTGCTTCCTTTCACTTTTTTTTTTTTTTTTTTTTTTTTTTTTTTGAGATGGAGTCTTGCTCTGTCTCCTAGGCTGGAGTTCAGCGCCACGATCTCGGCTGACTGCAACCTCTGCCTCCCGGGTTCAAGTGATTCTCCTGCCTCAACCTCCTGAGTAGCTAGGATTACAGGTGCCCACCACCATGCCAGGCTAATTTTTGTATTTTTAGTAGAGATAGAGTTTCACCATGTTGGCCAGGCTGGTCTTGAACTCCTGACCTCATGATCTGCCTGCCTCAGCCTCCCAAAGTGCTGGGATTACAGGGGTGAACCACTGTGCCTGGTCCCTTTCACATTTTTTGTAGTGCAGTTATGCTGGCAACTGACTTTATTTGGCATTTGTTTGTATGAATAAGTTTATATTTTACCTTCCTTCATAGTTCTTTTCCTTGATGGGCCTATTAAAATATTTTTTTTCTTTTGTAAGCCACTTCACCCCTTCCCTATGGGTTTGTTTTTATTTACCTCTACATGGCTGACTTTGGACAGAAACGTTAAAAGTTCTACTTGTTGTTTTCCTGAAGCTATGCTTCTATTTCTGGACTCATCGCCAAGTCACCTGAAGGCAATACAAATGAAGTATCTGGGCCACATGCAGTGGCTCACGCCTGTAATCCCAGCACTTTGGGAAACTGAGGTGGGAGGATACCTTGAGCCCAGAAAAAAAAAAAATTAGCCTGGCATGGTGGCACGTGCCTGTAGTCCCAGTTACTTGGGAGGCTGAGGTGGGAGGATCACTTGAGCCTGGGAGTTGGAGGCTACATTGATCCTTGGTCGTGTCACTACCCTCAAGCCTGGACAAAAGAGTGAGACCTTGTCTCAAAAAAAAAAAAAAAAAAAAAAAAGTGTCCCTTTGCTTTACTCCTGCTCTCCAGTGATTCTACAGCATGGAATAGGCCACTGACTTACTCACATGTATAGTTCTCATCTGTCCATTTTAATAATTGCAACTAGAGCTCTTTTTGAACTTTCTCTCGTTCTTCAAGCATACATCAAACCTGAGTTTAGAGGGTATTTGCGTCCTAGTTTCACGAGATTGGCAAGTAGTTTTTAGAGAGTATGTTTGTGGCCATTCTTTTCTTTTGATACTGACGGAGGGTTTCTTTTTTAATTTTTTGTTTGTTTAAGACAGGGTCTTACTCTGTCACCCAGGCTGGAGTGCAGTGATGCAATCACGGCTCACTGTAGCCCCAACCTCCTGGCCTCAAGTGATCTTCTTGCCTCAGCACCCCCAAGTAGCTGGGACTATACATGCATGCCACCCTGCTAGCTAATTTTTAGAGGAGGTCTCTCTATGTTGCACAGGTTGGTCTGGTCTTGAACTTCTGGCCTCAAGTGAAACTCCTACTTTGGCTTCCCAAAGTGCTGGGATTACAGGCATGAGCCATTGCACCTGGCAATGGAGTGGTTTGTGGTTGGTTAGTTTTTTGTTTGTTTGTTTGTTTGTTTTTGAGACAGAGTTTCACTCCTGTTGCCCAGGCTAGAGTGCAATGGTGCGATCTCGGCTTACTTCAACTTCTGCCTCTTGGGTTCAAGCAATTCTCCTGCCTCAGCCTCCCAAGTCGCTGGGATTACAGGCGTCCGCCACAACGCCCGGCTAATTTTTGTATTTTTAGTAGAGGTGAGGTTTCACCATGTTGGTCAGGTTGGTCTCAAACTCCTGACCTCAAGTGATCCACCCGCCTCAGCCTCCCGAACTGCTGGGATTACAGGCGTGAGCCACCATGCCTGGCCTTGTTTGTTTTTTGTTTTGTTTTGAGACAGAGTCTCACTCCATTGCCCAGACTAGAGTGCAGTGGCACAATCTCAGCTCACTGCAACCTCCGCCTCCCAGGTTCAAGCGATTCTTGTGCCCCAGCCTCCTAAGTAGCTAGGACTACAGGTGTGCGCCACCACTGCCTGGTTAATTTTGGAATTTTCTTTTTAATAGAGACAGGGTTTTGCCATGTTGGCCAGGCTGGTCTCAAACTTCTGGCCTCAAGTGATCTGCCCGCCTCGGCCTCCCAAAGTGCTGGGATTTTGGGTGTGAACCACCGCACTCACAGAGTTTTTTTCTTTTTTTAATAAATTTTTATTTGAAATTATTTAGATTTGCAGAAAGTGCAAAGTAATACAAAGAGTTCCTATATATTGCCATACCCAATTTACCCTAATGCTAACATCTTACACTAGCATATTTGTCAAAATCATCAGTGTACCAATTCATATACTGTACATTACTATTTACTAAAATCCAGAGTTTATTTGGATTTCACCAGTTTTTCCACTATGTTGTTTTTTGTTCCAGAATTCATAAATAGAGGGTTTTTTTTTTCCTATTTTTGATTCTTTAAGTTCATTTTTGTTGGTTGCATGGAGGAGTGTCATATACGCACTCATTCCACCAAATTCCCTTGATATCCTTTACCATTACTTTATAAACCATTTACATTTCTCTTGCAGAGAGCCACAACCTAAGTGCCTTACCTGATGACACTGACAGAGAGAATCACTGGAAATGATAGTTTTATACTTAATTCTTGTCACTAAAACTCTAATAGTGTTTTTAAAAACCTAATACAAGGCCAGGCCTGGCGGCTCACACCTATCATCCCAGCACTTTGGGATGCCTAGGGAGGAGAATTGCTCAAGGCCAGAAGTTTGAAACCAGAACAGCCTGGGCAACATAGTGAGACCCTGTCTCTGAAAAAACAAAACAAACAACAACAGCAACAACAACAACAAAAATACCTAACACAAATACTTAAATGCATACAACTATTTTTATAACTTTTAACTTTTACACTTAGTTGTCCATTTCTCCAAAATATGAAGTCCTCTGCGGAAGTGACTCCAGACCTTCAGAGCCGTGGTGAACTTTGTGAATTACTGGTAATGAACACCGTCATCTTGTCTGTTTTACCAGCACATGATCATATAATTGAAAACTGTTTTGAACAGGAATGTCTCATCATAAATAAGTTAATAAATTCTACAAACATCTACTAAACATCTGTTATGTTCTAGGTACAGATTGGGGAAATCACAATAAACCAGTCGGGCACAATACCTAGCTTCATGAAATGTATAGTCAATCTCTTCTACTTCAAGGCCCAGACTCTCTTAGACTTTGTTGATTAGCATCCAGGCTAAATGGATCCTCTCTGGATCTTCATGTGGAGGGCAATAAGGCTGGATTTGCTACTTGGCCTTTTTAGGGGTTGAGAAGATGTTACTTTAACAAAAGCAAGTGCCCAACAAAATCATAAACCCAGGTAATAGGCTGACCACTTTAAGCTGAGAAATCCTACCTAGTTCTCTGGGATATAAGCCACTACTAATTTAATGCACACATATACCACCTTATTTTGAGGCTGTGTGTTAGGTATGTTATGTTTGTCATCCCCCCACCCCCAACACACACAAAAACCAACTTGCTATTCACGTGATTCATTTTCTATATGAATTGAAAAATGGCACTAAAGAAAAAAGTTTGGGGATATAGAAATAGCTTATTTTTTAAGGAAGAAACATAACCTTTCTAAGTACTGGATGTGTAATATTAAAAATGTAGTTAACCAAGGACAGAGGCTGCACCTAATGACTTTTGGAGGAACCTTCTTGCTCAAGACACTATGATTCTCGTTACCTGGATAGTATCACCCATGGATTGTATCATATATGAACCACTGAGGAACACACATTCCTGCAGATGTTTGCAGATTATTAATTGCTTTATATTTGGAGCACCCCTCCCTTCAATCAGCATAAATATTTGAGGGTGGGCTGTGTTTAGAAGATGTTTAGTCTCCAATGATTACAACATGATGCACCACTCTCCTATACAAATTTTGATTTAAGAAAAGATTTTATTTTTCAAAGGAAACCACAAGTGAAAGCAATCTTGAAGATTCAATAGCAGTTGGTCCTATAGTGCCAGGTAAGAACTTTGAAGTAGCACGTGGGATTATATGTATTTGTAAATATATTTGTATACAGGGCAGTTGCAAAAAAAAGAGTATTTATAATTGTCCAAAGAGCTTCCAAAGAGGAGCAGCATTGCAACAGTGTCGTGTATGAGCAAAAGTCAAGATTCTTGTGGCTTCTCCAGAGTGCAGGCAGGACCAAACTGATAGTAGGCAACGTGTCTCAGGTACAAGCAAACCAGTCCTTAGAAGCACCAATCAGTAAACTTCTTTCCTGAGATTTTTATTTTTATTCATTTTATTTTATTTTATTTTATTTGAGACAGGGTCTTACTTTGTCACCCAGGCTGGAATGCAATGGCAAGATCATGGCTCACTGCAGCGTCGACCTCCCAGGCTCAAGTGATCCTCCCATCTCAGCCTCCCCAGTAGCTGGGACCACAAGCATGTGCCACCACACCTGGCTAATTTTTGTATTTTTTGTAGAGACAGGGTTTTGCCATGTTGGCCAGGCTGGTCTTGAACTCCTAGGCTCAAGCAATTCGCCTGCCTCGGTCTCCCACAGTGCTGGGATTACAGGCATGAGTCACTTTGCCTGGCCTCTTTCCTGAGATGCATGGTGCTTATGATAAGCACACATTATGTCTAGGTCCCTGCTTCAAGTGTGGCACTTTGGACACATGCTTTCCACATTCCGATTTTGTGCCAAAACCTATGAGATGATCGCAATGTGGGAATCATGGATGGCTGTGGAAAATCCTAACACATTCGTAGTAGACAGGCAGAATCATGGAATGAAAAGGCATGGCGTTCAGACTGAGGGAGATGTGACTATGAATCCCTGTTGTGCCCCCCTTTCTTTCTCTCCACAGAAATGGCACAGGGTGAAGCCCAGTGGTTTCAAGAGGCAAAGAATCTGAATGAGCAGCTGAGAGCAGCTTATACCAGCGCCAGTTTCCGCCACATGTCTTTGCTTGATATCTCTTCCGATCTGGCCACGGACCACTTGCTGGGCTGTGATCTGTCTATTGCTTCAAAACACATCAGCAAACCTGTGCAAGAACCTCTGGTGCTGCCTGAGGTCTTTGGCAACTTGAACTCTGTCATGTGTGTGGAGGGTGAAGCTGGAAGTGGAAAGACGGTCCTCCTGAAGAAAATAGCTTTTCTGTGGGCATCTGGATGCTGTCCCCTGTTAAACAGGTTCCAGCTGGTTTTCTACCTCTCCCTTAGTTCCACCAGACCAGACGAGGGGCTGGCCAGTATCATCTGTGACCAGCTCCTAGAGAAAGAAGGATCTGTTACTGAAATGTGCATGAGGAACATTATCCAGCAGTTAAAGAATCAGGTCTTATTCCTTTTAGATGACTACAAAGAAATATGTTCAATCCCTCAAGTCATAGGAAAACTGATTCAAAAAAACCACTTATCCCGGACCTGCCTATTGATTGCTGTCCGTACAAACAGGGCCAGGGACATCCGCCGATACCTAGAGACCATTCTAGAGATCAAAGCATTTCCCTTTTATAATACTGTCTGTATATTACGGAAGCTCTTTTCACATAATATGACTCGTCTGCGAAAGTTTATGGTTTACTTTGGAAAGAACCAAAGTTTGCAGAAGATACAGAAAACTCCTCTCTTTGTGGCGGCGATCTGTGCTCATTGGTTTCAGTATCCTTTTGACCCATCCTTTGATGATGTGGCTGTTTTCAAGTCCTATATGGAACGCCTTTCCTTAAGGAACAAAGCGACAGCTGAAATTCTCAAAGCAACTGTGTCCTCCTGTGGTGAGCTGGCCTTGAAAGGGTTTTTTTCATGTTGCTTTGAGTTTAATGATGATGATCTCGCAGAAGCAGGGGTTGATGAAGATGAAGATCTAACCATGTGCTTGATGAGCAAATTTACAGCCCAGAGACTAAGACCATTCTACCGGTTTTTAAGTCCTGCCTTCCAAGAATTTCTTGCGGGGATGAGGCTGATTGAACTCCTGGATTCAGATAGGCAGGAACATCAAGATTTGGGACTGTATCATTTGAAACAAATCAACTCACCCATGATGACTGTAAGCGCCTACAACAATTTTTTGAACTATGTCTCCAGCCTCCCTTCAACAAAAGCAGGGCCCAAAATTGTGTCTCATTTGCTCCATTTAGTGGATAACAAAGAGTCATTGGAGAATATATCTGAAAATGATGACTACTTAAAGCACCAGCCAGAAATTTCACTGCAGATGCAGTTACTTAGGGGATTGTGGCAAATTTGTCCACAAGCTTACTTTTCAATGGTTTCAGAACATTTACTGGTTCTTGCCCTGAAAACTGCTTATCAAAGCAACACTGTTGCTGCGTGTTCTCCATTTGTTTTGCAATTCCTTCAAGGGAGAACACTGACTTTGGGTGCGCTTAACTTACAGTACTTTTTCGACCACCCAGAAAGCTTGTCATTGTTGAGGAGCATCCACTTCCCAATACGAGGAAATAAGACATCACCCAGAGCACATTTTTCAGTTCTGGAAACATGTTTTGACAAATCACAGGTGCCAACTATAGATCAGGACTATGCTTCTGCCTTTGAACCTATGAATGAATGGGAGCGAAATTTAGCTGAAAAAGAGGATAATGTAAAGAGCTATATGGATATGCAGCGCAGGGCATCACCAGACCTTAGTACTGGCTATTGGAAACTTTCTCCAAAGCAGTACAAGATTCCCTGTCTAGAAGTCGATGTGAATGATATTGATGTTGTAGGCCAGGATATGCTTGAGATTCTAATGACAGTTTTCTCAGCTTCACAGCGCATCGAACTCCATTTAAACCACAGCAGAGGCTTTATAGAAAGCATCCGCCCAGCTCTTGAGCTGTCTAAGGCCTCTGTCACCAAGTGCTCCATAAGCAAGTTGGAACTCAGCGCAGCCGAACAGGAACTGCTTCTCACCCTGCCTTCCCTGGAATCTCTTGAAGTCTCAGGGACAATCCAGTCACAAGGTATACCTGTATATATTTTGGATGACTATTCTGATGTATAATTTCTTTTTCTTACTTTAAGTGGTTGAAAACTTCTGAGGCCATGAAAGCATGCATGCTCATTGATAGAACAGATATAAAATAAACCTTCACTAATTTTTTTTGACAGTAGCATGAATTAGTGAAAAGTCCTTGAATAATAGAATGGTTTTCAAATAACTCAGACAAAATGAATAAAATATTTATATTAAATTATTGAAGGTTCTTAATAAAGACATGAATTATCTGTTATTAGTAAAAGAATTAGCTATATGTAAGATGATGCTTAGAAATTACCTTCACCCTAGCTGCCTAAAGGAAGAAAGGCCTGTAGTCCCTGGGAAATAAATAAATTAATGGGAAATAATATCTTCATCTATTTGTGTCTTAACTCCTCTAAGCACTATTTGATAGTTTTCAGTGTAGACTTAACCCATCTTTCATTAAATTTATTCCTAGATACTCATATCTTTTGAAAGTATTGTAAATGTCATTAAAAATATTTTTTCATTTTCTAATTGTTGCTAGTATTGCTTTGGTCTTAAGCAGTTTGACTGTTATATGCCTAGGTGTGCTTTGCTTTGTATGTATCTTGCTTGAGGTGCACTGAACTTTTTTGGAATGTGTGGGTTGACATTTACCAAATTTAGAAAATTTTTCATCTTTTTTCAAGTACTGTTTTATTATGGTAAAATACATGTAACAAAGCTTACATTTTAATCATTTTAAGTGTACAACTCAGTGGCATTAAGCATTCACTATGTTGTACAACCATCACCACTATCCATCTCCAGAACCTTTTCATCATCCCAATTAAACAATAAATTGGGCCGGGCGCGGGGGCTCACGCCTGTAATCCCAGCACTTTGGGAGGCCGAAGAGGGTGGATCGCCAGAGCTCAGGAGTTTGAGACCACCCTGGGCAACATGGTGAAACCACATCTCTACTAAAATACAAAAAATTAGCTGGGCGTGGTGGCATGCGCCTGTAGTCCCAGCTATTCGGGAGGCTGAGGCATGAGAATCACTTAAGCCTGGGAGGCAGAGGTTGCAGTGAGCCCAGATCATGCCACTGCACTCCAGCTTGGGCTACCGAGTGAGACTCCGTCTCAAAAAAAAAAAAAAAAAAAAAAAAAAAAAAAAATCTTCCCTCCCACCAGCCCCTGATAACTTCTCTTCTATTTTCTGTCTCTATGAATTTGCCTCTTCTAGATATTGTTTATAAGCATTATCACTTGTCTGGCTTATTTCACTTTGCATACTGTTCAAGGTACATCATGTTGTAGCCTATATTGGAATTTCATTCCTTCACATGTACTCCATAAATATGTACAATTATTATGTATCAACTTTGAAAAGGAACTTCATCCTTTTTATAGCTAATATTCCATGGTATGTATATAGTACATTTTGTTTATCCATTCTGCTGCTGAGAGACACTTGGGTTGTTTCTACCTTCTGGCTATCATAAATAATGCTGCAATGAACACTGGCATTATAAGTATCGGTTTAAGTTCTTGCTTTTAATCATTTTGGGTATATACCTAGAAGCAGAATTGCTGATTCATATGGTAGTTCTATGTTTAACTTTTTGAGGAACTTGCACAGTAGCTGCACCATCTTACATTCCCACTATCCATGTACAAAGGTTCCAATTACTCCACATCCTCTTCAGCACTTGTTAATTTTTGTTTTTGTGGAGACAGAGTCTAATTCTGTCACCCAGGCTGGAGTGCAGTGGCGAGATCTTGGCTCACTGCAACCTCCACCTCTCGGGTTCAAGCAATTCTCCTGTCTCAGCCTCCTGAGTAGCTGGGACTACAGGTGTGCACCACCATACCTGGCTAACTTTTGTATTTTTAGTAGAGATGGGGTTTCGCCATGTTGCCCAAGCCGGTCTCGAACTCCTGAGCTCAGGCAGTCCAGCCACCTTGGCCTCCCGAAGTGCTAGGATTACAGGCATGAGCCACAGTGCCCGACCTGTTTTTGTTTTCATTGTTGTTTTTCAGACAGTGTCTTGCTCTATTGCCCAAGCTGGAGTGCTGTGGTGCAATCATGGCTCACTGCAGCCTCAACCTCTTGAGCTCAGGTGATCCTCCTGCCTCAGCCTCCTGAGTAGCTGAGACTACCAGCATGCACCACCGTGCCTGGATAATTTTTTATTTTTTGTAGAGACAGATTCTTGCTATGTTGCCTAGTCTGGTCTTTTTTCTTTTTCTTTCTTTTTTTTTTTTGAGATGGAGCCTCGCTCTGTCCCCCAGGCTGGAGTGCAGTGGCGCAATCTCGGCTCACTGCAAGCTCTGCCTCCTGGGTTCACGCCATTCTCTTGCCTCAGCCTCCCAAGTAGCTGGGATTACAAGCTCCCGCCACCACACCCAGCTAATTTTTGTATTTTTAGTAGAGATGGGGTTTCACCATGTTGGCCAGGCTGGTCTTGAACTCCTGACCTCAGGTGATCCACCCACCTCGGCCTCCCAAAGTGCTGGGATTACAGGCATGAGCCACCGTGCCTGGCCCCTAGTCTGGTCTTGAACTCCTGGGCTCAAATGATCCACCCACCTTGGCCTTCCAAAGTGCTGGGATTACAGGTATGAGCCACCTCACCCAGCCCATTTTGTTTTGTGATTATCATAAAGCCATTCTAGTAGTTGTGAAGTGGTATCTCATTGTGGTTTTGATTTGCATTTCTCTAATGCAAATCATGAAAATGATGTTAAGTATCTTTTCACTTTTTGAAAAAATATGTTTGCTCATTTAAAAATTGTTGTTGTTTTTGTTGCATTGTAAGAGTTATTTGTATATTCTGGATTTCAACCTGTTATCAGATACACAGTTTGAAAATATTTTTCCCATTCCATAGGTTGTCATTTTACTTTATTTATAATGTCCTTTGTGCACGAAAGTTTTAAATTTTGACGAAGTCCAATTTATCTGTTTTTTTCTTTTATTGCTGGTCCTTTTGGTGTCCTATCTAAGAATCCATTGCCAAATCCAAGGTCATGAAGATTAACTCCTATGTTTTTTCTAAGAGTTGTGTGATTTCAGCTTTTATATTTAGGTCGTTGATCCATTTTGAGTTGATTTTTTTTACATGGTGAGGGATAGGAATCCAACTTCATTCTTTCGCATGTGCAAATCCAGTTGTCCCCAACCGTTTGTTGAAGAGATGCTATATTTCTTTTCTCTTCTTTTTTTTTTTTTTTTTGAGACGGAGTCTCACACTGTAGCCTGGGCTGGAGTGCAATGGCGCGATCTTGGCTCACTGCAACCTCCGTCTCCCAGGTTTATGTGATTCTCCTGCCTCAGCCTCCTGAGTAGCTGGGATTACAGATGCACACCACCATACCCAGCTAATTTTTTTTTTTGTATTTTTAGTAGAGACGGGGTTTCACTATGTTGGCCAGACTGGTCTCAAACTCCTGACCTCGTGATCCGCCCGCCTCAGCCTCCCAAAGTGCTGGGATTACAGGCATGAGCCACTGCGCCTAGCCGAGATGCTGTATTTCTTTTTGTGAGTCTGAAGAGTAGCACAGGGCTTCCCATACAGTGCATAAGCTGCAAAAAGCAATATCTTCATATATGTATTCTTTAAAAAAAAAAAAGAATGTTTTATGGTATGTGGAAGGTTTGCATGTGAAAATAGCTGGATGAATCAAAATGACAGTTTTAAAATGTCCATTCAGAACTCTTTAGATTAATAATGGGAAACTGTGCTGCTTTCCAGACCAAATCTTTCCTAATCTGGATAAGTTCCTGTGCCTGAAAGAACTGTCTGTGGATCTGGAGGGCAATATAAATGTTTTTTCAGTCATTCCTGAAGAATTTCCAAACTTCCACCATATGGAGAAATTATTGATCCAAATTTCAGCTGAGTATGATCCTTCCAAACTAGGTAAGGATGGCACTTTAATATACTTGTTTTTACGTAAGTTGGAAAAGCTACTTGGCCAATAATTTATTTAAGAGTTAAAGTGCCTGTGGTTCTAAGGGTGTAGCCTGTATCCATGGTAAATTGTGAGGAATAGCACTCTTTCTCATTAAGAAAGCAGAGTGCTGTTTGTAATTATTGAGCCTTTACTACACACTAGGAAGTATCCTAAGCACTTCACAAATATGAACTCAGTCTTCATACCCACTCTATGAAGTACTATTATTATTATTATTATTATTATTATTTTTTTTTTTTTTTTGAGACAGTCTCGCGCTGTCGCCCAGGCTGGAGTGCAGTGGCACGATCTCGGCTCACTGCAAGCTCCTCCTCTCAGGTTCACCATTCTCCTGCCTCAGCCTCCCAAGTAGCTGGGACTACAGGTGCCTGCCACCACGCCCAGCTAATTTTTTGTATTTTTAGTAGAGACGGCGTTTCACCGTGTTAGCCAGGATGGTCTCGATCTCCTGACCTCATGATCTTCCCGCCTCGGCCTCCCAAAGTGCTGGGATTACAGGCATGAGCCACCGTGCCTGGCCAAAGTAAAGTACTATTATTAATGCTATTTTGTAGCTGGGAAAACTGAGACATAAAGAGATAAAGTAATTCGTAATATCCAGCTAAGGAAATGTATATCTGTGACTCAAATACAGGAATTTTGACTCCAAAATCTGAGTTCTTAATCCCTAATATAGGCCGGGCCTGGTGACTCACACCTGTAATCCCAGCACTTTGGGAGGCCGAGAAGGGCAGATCACCTGAGGTCAGGAGTTCGAGACCAGCCTGACCAACATGGTGAAACCCTGCCTCTACTAAAAATGCAAAAATTTGCTGGCATGGTGGCATATGCCTGTAATCCCAGCTACTTGAGAGGCTGAAGCAGGAGAATTACCTGAACCTGGGAGGCAGAGATTGCAATGTGAGCCGAGATCGCGCCATTGTACTCCAGCCTGGGGAACAAGAGTAAAACTCCATGGGGAACAAGAGCAAAACTCCATGGGGAACAAGAGCAAAACTCCATCTCAGAAAAAAAAAAAAAAAAAGAAAGAAATCCCTAATATAATGTTGCCACTCCAAAATAATTTGTAGGGTTATTTTATTTTGTTTTTGGTTAGGCTGGTCTTACATTGCAACTTACAGATCTGGCAGCTCAGCAGGAAGGAAATCTGCTAATCCGTAGTCATTGGAAGTATTTCCCTGTTTCTCACCAGCCTATCCTAATAGTTCATGGAAAATGGTGCAGCCATCTTTCTTAAATACATCATTTAGCTAAATGACTTAGGCACCATCATTCCTTAACTTAGTAAACACTGAACACTAAAGATTGAAGAAATATACAACTCTATGGAATTGACATAAAGACTTGCATGCAAAAGCTTCATTGTTGGCCAGGCACAGTGACTCACACCTGTAATCTTAGCACTTTGGGTGGCCGAGGCGGGAGGATCGCCTGAGAGCAGGAGTTCAGCACCAGGCTGGGCAATATAGCAAGACATCGTCTCTACTAAAAAAATAAAAAATTAGCCAAGTATGATGGTGTGCACCTATAGTCCCCAGCTACTCAGGAGGCTGGTAGGATCACTTGAGTCCAGAAGTTCAAGCTTGCAATAAGCTATGATCATGCCACTGCACTCCAGCCTAGGTGATAGAGCAAGACCCTGTCTCAAAAAAAAAAAAAAAAAAAAAATATATATATATATGTGTGTGTGTGTGTGTGTGCATACATATATACACCGAAGCTGGAGGTGGTAGTTATATTTGTCAGCAAATTTTGCAACAAATTTAGGTTTTGCTTCAGAGTTGTCATTCCTTTTATGTTTCTTTTTTTTTTTTGAGACAGAGTCTCAATCTGTCACCCAGGCTGGAGTGCAGTGGCACCGTTGTCAGCTCACTGCAACCTCCGTCTCCTGGGTTCAAGCAATTCTCCTGCCTCAGCCTCCCAAGTAGCTGGGATTACAGGCGCCCATCACCATGCCCGGCTAATTTTTTAATATTTTTAGTAGAGACGGGGTTTCACCATGTTGGCCAGGCCAGTCTCAAACTCCTGACCTCAGGTGATCCGCCCACCTCAGCCTCCCAAAGTACTAGGATTACAGGCGTGAGCCACTATGCCCAGCTGTTTCTTTGTATAGTATTCTTTTTTTTTTTTTTTTTTTTTTTTTGGAGATGCAGTCTTGCTCTGTTGCCCAGGCTGGAGTTTGGTGGCGCAATATCCACTCACTGCAACCTCTGCCTCCTGGGTTCAAGCGATTCTCCTGCCTCGGCCTCCCGAGTAGCTGGGATTACAGCTGCCTGCCACCCACGCCTGGCAAATGTTTGTATTTTTAGTAGAGACAGGGTTTCACCATGTTGGCCAGGCTGGTCTCGAGCTCCTGAGCTCAGATGATCCACCTGCCTCGGCCTCCCAAAGTGCTGGGATTACAGGCATGAGCCACAGCACCTGGCCTCTTTGTATTCTTATTGTGTAAATGTCATGTACAAACTTAGAGTTATTAGGTGTTAAAGCTGAAGGTGATGCTACTGAGTCAATGCTTGTATTTTATAGAAGAGAAAACTGTTACCCAGAGAGGGTCAATAATGTGTCAAAATTCACATTACTTGCTAGTTGCAGAACCTGAACCCAAGCCCAGTGACCTGATTCTTAGATCATGAGATCGTGGTACCTGGTTTTAATTAAGTATTA
This sequence comes from Homo sapiens, assembly GCF_000001405.40. NCBI lineage: Eukaryota > Metazoa > Chordata > Mammalia > Primates > Hominidae > Homo > Homo sapiens. Next base: position 1,504,959 of record NW_025791777.1, read on the forward strand.
TTGAAACAAAATAATAAACTACTTGGCTAATTTTGATAGAAATTTGCAGTATTTTCTAATTTCTGAAAATCCTTGATCTTTTACAGTAAAATTAATTCAAAATTCTCCAAACCTTCATGTTTTCCATCTGAAGTGTAACTTCTTTTCGGATTTTGGGTCTCTCATGACTATGCTTGTTTCCTGTAAGAAACTCACAGAAATTAAGTTTTCGGATTCATTTTTTCAAGCCGTCCCATTTGGTAAGAGTTATAATATTACAATGGTGGTTTAAAATGTTTCTATGGACACAGAGTCATATTAAGCACTCTTTAAAAAGGGCCATATTTTGAGGCTGGGTGTGGTGGCTCATGCCTGTAATCCCAGCACTTTGGGAAGCTGAGGCAGGAGGCTTGCTTGAGGTCAGGGGTTTGAGACCAGTCTGGGCAACATAACAAGCCCTCCACCTCTAAAAAGCTTTAAAAAAATCAGTCGGGCACAGTGGTACCTATAGTCCCAGCTACTAGGGAAGCTAAGGCAGGAAGATTACTTGAGCCCAGAAGGTTGAAGCTGCAGCGAGCTGTGATGGTATCACTGCACTCCAGCCTGGGTGACACAGACCTTGTCTCTTTAAAAAAAGAAAGAAAGAAAAGAAAAATTGTTTCTCAAATAATAAAGTATAGGTGTTTCCAGAATTTTCTTTTTTACCTTTACGCTCAGTTGGATTTGAAATTTCTAGAATTTTAACAACATTTCTAGTTATCAGAATTATTTTCTGAGCAAAAATTTGTTTTATCTACTTAGTCATATGAATTCAATCTGAATTATTACATTAATTTCTAATTTCTTCATTTTAAAGATGTTACACTTTGCTGTGAGAGATGTAGCTGACATAACTAAATTTTTATTTTCCCTTTCATAGTTGCCAGTTTGCCAAATTTTATTTCTCTGAAGATATTAAATCTTGAAGGCCAGCAATTTCCTGATGAGGAAACATCAGAAAAATTTGGTATGTTTACAAAATAGTGCTTTTTACGTATTCTTATTCTCTTTCTGCCCAGAATCCTTTTTCTCCTATTCTGAATTAGCCACAAGGAAGCAAGATATGCATTAGCTACCCTTGCTTACCAGAACGAAGTGATAGTCATGCTCAACTTCTACCCACCAAATGCCTTCACTACAGTTTTACCTGCAGACTTGATCTCATTCAAAGCAGAATGACTTCTTAGAGTACATATTTGGTCATTATAGCACTATGCAATATAATTGTCAGGTATCTGTTCCAAATATAAGACCTCATAGTTTCAAAGGTTACTAGAATATAGGTAAAAATCTATCTTTTAAGGTTAGGAAAACTCAATACGTGAAAACGTGTATTTCATAAAATGATAGCTATAGAATTTAAATACTTTTTGATTTTTAAAAAACGATTATGAAAGTAATGTATGCTCATGGAAAACATTCTAACAGGAAAAAAAAAAAATAAAGGGAGGCAGTGGAGATAGGGACTGTAGAGCTGTGCTATTCAAAGTGCTTCTCAAACATAAGCGTACATAAAGATTGCCAGGATCCTCCTCTTCCCTTCCTTGGAGGCAGCTAGGTGGGTGGGGGCTGAGGTGGCAGAGGTAGGATCAGGGCCAAGGGGATGGCTGGCATACATCATAGGTTGATTAAGCAAATAATACAGTGAGTATAGCCAGATGCAGTGGCTCACACCTGTAATCCCAGCACTTTGGGAGGCCGAGGTGGGTGGATCACCTGAGGTCAGGAGTTCAAGACCAGCCTGGCCAACATGGTGAAACCCCATCTCTACTAAAAAATACAAAAATTTGCTGGGCGTGGTGGCACATGCCTGTAGTCCCAGCTACTTGGGAGGCTGAGGCAGGAGAATCTCTCGAACCTCGGAGGCAGAGATTGCAGTGAGCCAAGATCAGGTCACTGTACTCCAGCCTGGGTGGCAGAGCAAGACTCTGTCTCAAAAACAAACAAACGAACAAAACAGTGAGTATAATGAGAGCCACGTTTCCTCACAGTTGGAAAAGGAACTTACAAATATTGAAAGGTGAGGCTAGAAAGAGCTTTGAGGTGTTGGATTAGAATTGGAAATATTGGTCTGGCCTCATGGTTTTTTCTAACCTATGAACATACATAGAGATCTCCATATATATACATTGATCTCCACATGTCTATAGATACACACATACATATTTCTCAGCTCAGTGGAGAGACTAGAAGGCACTGCAGTAATAATGAACACACCAAGTGCCTAGATACTGATTTCTAAATCCTGTCCTTCCGTAAAGGAACCAGGGTCCTTGCAAAATTGGCTGATTCAAGAACTGAGACAGGGAAAGAAAATGATAAGCCTGGGACATTGATTTATGCTAGAAATTATTCAATATATTTCCATGTGTGAGGCCTCAGAAGTTACCTTTCTAATGATCAAATGATCTATCGTGTGCCATGCTAGGAAGGAGTCGAAGTGAAAAGGAAGGTTCTAAGAGTGGTGGACTGTGAGGCTTTAGGGCCAGGAGGCCGGTGCAGAATCACTGAGCATGACAGCGGGAGGTGGAATGGGAAAGGAGGTGGCTGAAGGCATTGCAGAGCTGGGAAAGGAACCTGCAGGTCAGGAAAAGCTTCATTCTAAACGAGGAATGGAGATTTAATTGGCAGCCTGGACTTTAGTGCAGGAGAGATTGGTTGGTAGGGTGTGGTGGAGGAATTGTCTGGAGGAGCGAGGAAGACGGAAGCATGTGCTGGCCCTTCTCTTGCTTCCTGGACTGTGCATGATGTTTAGACCATACATGATTTTCAGATTACTGTTGCATAGGAACAAAAAGTACAAAGAGAATAGCTTTTTGGTCTTTTCTGACAGCCTACATTTTAGGTTCTCTTAGTAACCTGGAAGAATTGATCCTTCCTACTGGGGATGGAATTTATCGAGTGGCCAAACTGATCATCCAGCAGTGTCAGCAGCTTCATTGTCTCCGAGTCCTCTCATTTTTCAAGACTTTGAATGATGACAGCGTGGTGGAAATTGGTGAGCTAGTGTTTCAGCTTGCATGGAAGCCAGTGGTATAGCCAAGCTTTCTGCTGCAACATGTCTATGTAAACATTTGCCCCTCTAGAAATTTTCAACCCGCTTCCTCATTTTCACTATCATACTGTTCCTTCTAGTGTCCTTCTGTGGATTTAGGCGCATTCTGGTCAGATTTGGAAGTACAAAAAGGTCTCCCATTTGTGGATATACAAGCCCTCAAATCTGCGTTCTTGCCACCTGGTGTTTTAGACACCTGGCCACATACTCTCCTAAGTACTCCTTTTTAAAACTGAAGATGAATATACACACAGAAAAGTACAAAAATCATGTGTACTGCTCACTGAATTTTATTTTCTTATTTTCTTCTTTTTTTTTTTTTTGAGACAGAGTTTCGCTCGTGTTGCCCAGGCTGGAGTACAATGGCACGATCTCGGGTCACTGCAAACTCTGCCTCCTGGGTTCAAGCGATTCTCCTGCCTCAGCCTCCCAAGTAGCTAGGATTACAGGTGAACGCCACCACACCTGGCTAATTTTGTATTTTTAGTAAACACAGGGTTTCACCATGTTGGCCAGGCTAGTCTCGAACTCCTGACCTCAAGTGAGCCACAGTGCCTGGCCTGAGGAACTGAGATTTCTGTCGAGACCTGAAGGGAGAATGGCCCAGGCATAGTTGGTAGAGGAGGAATTGAGACATCATTTCAAACAGAGGTAATCACTTGTGTCATAGCCTGGAGTTAAAGAGAACCAGATATATTTGAAGAACTTGGGGGAAAAAAAGGAATGTCTGGAGCAAGAGGCAGGAGTGAGTTGTGAGAAGAAGACTGGAGAGGAAAGTAAAAGCCCAATTGGAGAGGCTTTGTCGGGTGTGTTACAAGGGCTGGATCTCATTTTCTTACTGCTCAGCACTGTTATTTTACGTTATTTAAAACAGCTGGGAGCGGTGGCTCAAGCTTGTAATCCCAGCACTTTGGGAGGCCGAGGCGGATGGATCACGAGGTCAGGAGATCGAGACCATCCTGGCTAACATGGTGAAACCCCGTCTCTACTAAAAATACAAAAAATTAGCCAGGCGTGATGGCGGGCACCTGTAGTCCCAGCTACTCGGGAGGCTGAGGCAGGAGAATGGTGTGAACCCGGGAGGTGGAGCTTGAAGTGAGCCAAGATCATGCCACTGCACTCCAGCCTGGGCAACAGAACGAGACTCCGTCTCAAAAAAAAAAACAAAAAACAAAAAACAATGACAACTTACAACGTTTTTCTTAAAGGCCTTGTTTCTTCCTCCTTATGAGGAAGAATTTAATAACATTAAATTTTGTGGTCTCTCTCATCCTCATTTACTATAAATTATTTGTGTTTTATTCTTCTCACTACATTAGGTCAAAGCCTTCCTTAGAACTTCAATCTCACACACAGATTTGAGCCAGTAACCCCTGTCGCTCTCCCTCCTGAGAGCAGGTGTTTTCTCTTCCCGGCGCCCAGCAGAGTATGCCTGGCCTATAGTGGGAACTCAGTAAATATTTGTTGACTGAATAAAGAAAACTTACTTTTCTGTAGCTTCTTCTGATGGACAGCTGAGAGGCCATTGTTTGCCTATAGTCAGTAATGCTTAAACTTTACCTGTAGGAGACAGCATTCAGACACATCACAGAACCGGCTAATCACACAATATGAAGTGGGAGTTATGCTGAAACAGGGGAAAGAAGGGAATGGATGTGAAAGACCTGAGTCTTTCTTCAAGTCCCTCCAGAAGTGTCTTTCATGTGGGGGAATGAGAAATATCTCTTGAATGTTACTGAAGATACCTATTCAGGACATAGCTGAAGACATTTTCTCAGTACCTCTGTTGTTTAACCTCAGTCAAGCTACAGCCATGGATTCTAGATTGAAACCAAACTTAACCTTTGCCCAAGTTAGAAAAAAAAAGAGGTTTAGCAATTAAAAACAAGGCTGGGCATGGTGGCTCATGCCTGTAATCCCAACACGTTGGGAGGCCAAGATAGAAGGACTGCTTGAGGCCAGGAGTTTGAGACAAGATTGGGCAACATAGCAAGACCTTGTCTCCATAAAAAATTGAAAAATTAGCCAAGCACGGTGGCTAGTCCTGAGTAGCTAGGACTCAGGAGGCTGAGGCGGGAGGATTGCTTGAGCCCAGAAATTCTAGGCTGCAGTGAGTTATAACTGAACCATTGCACTCCAGCCTAGGCAACCAAGTGACACCCTGTCTCAAAAAAAAAAATTTTTTTTTTTTTAAAAACCCCTAAACCAAACAACAAGAACTCTGCTTGGTACCCATTCCAAAGTCTAGTCAGCCTGTGTTCATTGAGAACACAGGGTGTGCCCGGCTTCCATTTCCTTCAGAGCCCTTAGTCTCAAAAACAGGAGGGTCCCTTCTGGGCAACAGAAATAGGGCATAGCAGTGGACAGTCGGATGACATGGCTTTAGGAATGTCACACCCCCTTCTCTATAAAAGGGGAAGACATAATTGCTACACTCTTTGAAGTCCCTTGTAATTTAGTCTGGATTTTTTTTTTTTTGTTTTCTCTTTTTGTTTTTTAGACGGAGTCTTGCTCTGTCACCCAGGCTGGAGTGCAGTGGTGGGATTTTGGCTCACTGCAACCTCTACCTCCCAGGTTCAAGCTGATTCTCCTGCCTCAGCCTCCCGAGTAGCTGGGATTACAGGCATGTACCACCATATCCGGCTGATTCTTGTATTTTTAGTAGAGATGGGGTTTCACCATGTTGGCCAGCCTGGTCTCGAACTCCTGACTTCAAGTGATCTACCCACCTCGGCCTCCCAAAATGCTGGGATTACAAGCGTGAGCCACTGTGACTTGCCAATTTAGTCTGGTTTGTAGGCATGATGTACCTTGGCATGTGACCTCCTGTGAGACCAAAAGAGAAGCTCATATTTGTCCAGGATGGTGAAACTCTCAGCACAATGGCGTCAGTGCTTTAGGCTTGGCTGTACTTCTTTGGTTTCTGCTTCTCCCTTAGATTTTTGCCAGGTGGTTCTTTATTAACCCATCAGCTCTTTGGGGTTTTTAAGGAGATATTTTCAAAATATTATATTAAGCTGGGCACAGTGACACGTGCTTGTAATCCCACCTACTTGGGAAGCTGAGGCAGGAGGATCACTTGAGTCCACGAGTTTGAGACCAGCCTGTGATGGCCAGGCGCGGTGGCTCACGCCTGTAATCCCAGCACTTTGGGAGGCCAAGGCGGGTGGATCACAAGGTCAGGAGATCGAGACCATCCTGGCTAACACAGTGAAACCCCGTCTCTACTAAAAATACAAAAAATTAGCTGGGCATGGTGGCGGGCGCCTGTAGTCCCAGCTACTCGGGAGGCTGAGGCAGGAGAATGGCATGAACCTGGGAGGCGGAGGTTGCAGTGAGCTGAGATCATGCCACTGCACTGCAGCCTGGGTAACAGAGCGAGACTCCATCTCAAAAAAAAAAAAAAAAAAAAAAAAAAAAAAGAAAGAAAGAAAAAGAGACCAGCCTGTGTTAACATAGCAAGACCCCATTTCAAAAAACAAAATTATATTGAGTACTTCCTACTAGCAGTAGTGGTGGGAGAGGAGGCTGGTTCAAATAACCTTGTCTACCATTATTGAAATGGAAGTCCTTATGATTCTATTTTCATGAATGTTTTGTTCTTGTAGCCAAAGTAGCAATCAGTGGAGGTTTCCAGAAACTTGAGAACCTAAAGCTTTCAATCAATCACAAGATTACAGAGGAAGGATACAGAAATTTCTTTCAAGCACTGGACAACATGCCAAACTTGCAGGAGTTGGACATCTCCAGGCATTTCACAGAGTGTATCAAAGCTCAGGCCACAACAGTCAAGTCTTTGAGTCAATGTGTGTTACGACTACCAAGGCTCATTAGACTGAACATGTTAAGTTGGCTCTTGGATGCAGATGATATTGCATTGCTTAATGTCATGAAAGAAAGACATCCTCAATCTAAGTACTTAACTATTCTCCAGAAATGGATACTGCCGTTCTCTCCAATCATTCAGAAATAAAAGATTCAGCTAAAAACTGCTGAATCAATAATTTGTCTTGGGGCATATTGAGGATGTAAAAAAAGTTGTTGATTAATGCTAAAAACCAAATTATCCAAAATTATTTTATTAAATATTGCATACAAAAGAAAATGTGTAAGGCTTGCTAAAAAACAAAACAAAACAAAACACAGTCCTGCATACTCACCACCAAGCTCAAGAAATAAATCATCACCAATACCTTTGAGGTCCCTGAGTAATCCACCCCAGCTAAAGGCAAACCCTTCAATCAAGTTTATACAGCAAACCCTCCATTGTCCATGGTCAACAGGGAAGGGGTTGGGGACAGGTCTGCCAATCTATCTAAAAGCCACAATATGGAAGAAGTATTCAATTTATATAATAAATGGCTAACTTAACGGTTGAATCACTTTCATACATGGATGAAACGGGTTTAACACAGGATCCACATGAATCTTCTGTGGGCCAAGAGATGTTCCTTAATCCTTGTAGAACCTGTTTTCTATATTGAACTAGCTTTGGTACAGTAGAGTTAACTTACTTTCCATTTATCCACTGCCAATATAAAGAGGAAACAGGGGTTAGGGAAAAATGACTTCATTCCAGAGGCTTCTCAGAGTTCAACATATGCTATAATTTAGAATTTTCTTATGAATCCACTCTACTTGGGTAGAAAATATTTTATCTCTAGTGATTGCATATTATTTCCATATCATAGTATTTCATAGTATTATATTTGATATGAGTGTCTATATCAATGTCAGTGTCCAGAATTTCGTTCCTACCAGTTAAGTAGTTTTCTGAACGGCCAGAAGACCATTCGAAATTCATGATACTACTATAAGTTGGTAAACAACCATACTTTTATCCTCATTTTTATTCTCACTAAGAAAAAAGTCAACTCCCCTCCCCTTGCCCAAGTATGAAATATAGGGACAGTATGTATGGTGTGGTCTCATTTGTTTAGAAAACCACTTATGACTGGGTGCGGTGGCTCACACCTGTAATCCCAGCACTTTGGGAGGCTGAGGCGGGCGAATCATTTGAGGTGAGGAATTCGAGACCAGCCTGGCCAGCATGGTGAAACCCCATCTCTACTAAAAATACAAAAATTAGCCAGGTGTGGTGGCACATGCCTGTAGTCCCAGCCACTAGGGCGGCTGAGACGCAAGACTTGCTTGAACCCGGGAGGCAGAGGTTGCAGTGAGCCAAGATGGCGCCACTGCATTCCAGCCTGGGCAACAGAGCAAGACCCTGTCTGTCTCAAAACAAAAAACAAAACCACTTATATTGCTAGCTACATTAAGAATTTCTGAATATGTTACTGAGCTTGCTTGTGGTAACCATTTATAATATCAGAAAGTATATGTACACCAAAACATGTTGAACATCCATGTTGTACAACTGAAATATAAATAATTTTGTCAATTATACCTAAATAAAACTGGAAAAAAATTTCTGGAAGTTTATATCTAAAAATGTTAATAGTGCGTACCTCTAGGAAGTGGGCCTGGAAGCCATTCTTACTTTTCAGTCTCTCCCATTCTGTACTGTTTTTTGTTTTACTTTCGTGCCTGCATTATTTTTCTATTTAAAACAAAAATAAATCTAGTTTAGCACTAAAATATTAACTGGAGCTACCTCTGGAGGGCAAGAGTACTAGAAGGTGGGATGGATTGTCTTCTTGCTTGTCTGATTTTATATGTAATACCTTTGTAATTAGAAAGGTTGTTAAGCATTATATCAGAATCCAGTCAGGAGACAGAAACCACACAGAAATTTGAATGGGGAAAGTTTAATATACAGATGCTCGGCCTGACGCAGTGGCTCACGCCTGTAATTCCAGCACTTTGGGAGGCCGAGGTGGGCAGATCACTTGAGGTCAGGAGTTCGAGACCAGCCTGGCCAACATGGTGAAATCCTGTCTCTACTAAAAATACAAAAAAAAATTAAAAAAAAAAAAAAAAAAGCCAGGCATGGTGGTGTGCACCTGTAGTCTCAGCTACTTGGGAGGCTGAGGCAGGAGAATTGCTTGAACCCAGGAGGCAGAGGTTGCAGTGAGCCAAGATCGTGCCACTGCACTCCAGCCTGGGTGACAGAGCAAGACTCCATTTCAAATAAATAAATAAATAAATAAAATAAGATGCTCCTCAACTTACAACAGGGTTATATCCTGAAAAACCCATTGTAAGTAGAAAATATTGTATGTCAGAAATGCATTTAATATACCTAAACTACCAAACATCATCGCTTAACCTGACCTACCTTAAACACGCTGAGAACACTTATATTAGCTTACAGTTGGGCAAAATCATAAACACAAAGCCTATTTTATAATAAAGTATTGAAAATCTCACGCAATTTATTGAATACTGTACAGAAAGTGAAAAATAGAGGTCGTATGAGTACTTGAGGAACAGTTTCTACTGAATGCGGATCACTTTTGCACCATTGCAAAGTAGAAAAATCCTAAGTCAAGTCATCATGAGTTGGGGACTGTCCGTAAGAGTTATTAACAGAGGACTGGAATGGGGATTGGGTAGTAAGGAATAAAGAGAAGCCTGGGCAGATGCAGGGAACAGCCGATATGGGCTTTTCACCCCAGGCTGAGACAGAACAACTCAAAGAAGAAAGCTCAGGGCTGAGATCCGGGCTGAGATCCAGACTTCGTGTGAGAGGACACAGCTGTGAAAGACAGAGGTTTGCTGAGGCTGTGGAGTTGCAGCTGGAGAAGGTGCTGGGCTTGGGGCACTTTGCAGAGAAGGGACCTTGTGCATGTCAAGGGAAGCCATTCATGTGGGGGTACTGTGCGCTGCTGACCATTGGGTGCTGCTGAAGTTAGGCACCGCCCAAGAAGTGTGCAGCCAGAACGAGGTGCTGCAGAGGCAGAGTGTATGTGCTACAGGAGCTGGTATTGCAGATGGCACAGGTGTTGCAGGTGTCTGCCTAGAGGAGCACAATGGAACCAGGAAAAGCAGCCCTTGCCCCTTCAGTGTGTCAGCAGCACCCTCGATTGACAAAGTTTCACTCTGTGCTTACTGTCATGGGAGAGGTATTTACAGGGCCCAGATCTATTATTACAGAACAGACAATGAAGACTGAATGTGGATATAAGAGGCAACAACTAGCATAACTCATTAAATCTAATAGTGCACACATAAACACAAAATAACCTAGTAATTTCTTAATATTGACTGACAGGATATATGCACGTGATGTATTTATAAATTCATGGAAAACTTATATAAAAAACAGGCAACCATAATTGAGTTTAGGGAGGAGAACAGGATGGCTGGTGGACAGAAAAGGGAGAGAGGGAAGTTTGCTTTTTTTCTCCTGCATACCCTTTTATACCAGTTGAGTTTTGTCCCATGTGTGCATACTATTAAAAAACCATGATACTTGACCAGGTGCAGTGGCTCACGCTGGTAATCCCAGCACTTTGGGAGGCCGAGGCGGGTGGATCACCTGAGGTTGGGAGTTCGAGACCAGCCTGACCAACATGGAGAAACCTTGTCTCTACTAAAAATACAAAATTAGCCACGCATGGTGGTGCCTTCCTGTAATCCCAGCTACTCGGGAGGCTGAGGCAGGAGAATTGCTTGAACCCAGGAGGCGGAGGTTGCAGTGAGCCAAGAACGCGCTATTGCACTCTAGCCTGGGCAACAAGAGCAAAATTCTGCCTCAAAAAAAAAAAAAAAAAAAAAAAAAATCATAAGATTCCATGCAAATTATTTTTCCAGAGCTGCTTCTAACAGCGTTTAGTTCAAGCAGCGGTCAGTAAAGTATGGCCCTGGACTGTCCAGCCCTCAAGCTAAGAATGGTTTTCACATTTTTTAAAGCAACAGAGACTCAGTGGCCTACAAAGCTAAAATATTTACTGTGTTCTTTTACAGAAAACAAACTATTTCTATGACAAAATACTTTTGAATCATAAGCTCATCATGCCCTTTATTCTAGTTTACATCAGTCTTCATAGGACTCCCAAGTCATCCCTCATTGACCTAAAAACTGTCCTCATGGTTGTAAGCCCTCCCTCCCTTCCTCCATCCATCTCTCCCTCTCTCTTTTTCTCCTTCCCTCTCTCCCTTCCTTCCTTTTCTTTCATAAAGAAAAGAGGTTTAGTTGACTCACGGTTCTGCAGGCTTTACAGGAAGCATGGTGCTGGCATCTGCTCGGCTTTTAGGGAGGCCTCAGGAAACTAAAATCATGGCAGAAGGTGAGCACACATGTCACATGATGAAAGCAGAAACAAGTGAGAGACAGTGCGGGGGCAGGGGGCAGGTTTCATACACTTTTAAATGACCAGATCTCACGAGAACTCAGTAGCAACACAAAGGTAACACCAAGCCATGAGGGATCTGCCCCCATGATCCAAACACCTCCCACCATGCCCCATCTCCAACACTCGGGATAAAATTCAACATAAGTAGAGATAAATATCCAAACCACATCATTCCACCTCTGGCCCCTCCCAAATCTTATGTCCTTTTCACAATGCAAAATACAACCATGCCTTCCCAACAGTGCCGCAAAGTCTTAACTCATTCCAGCATTAACTCAGGAATCCAAAGTCTCATCTGAGACAAGGCAAATCCCTGCCACCTATGAGCCTATAAAATAAAAAACAAATTATTTACTTCCAACATACAATCAGGGTTCAGGGATTGGGGAAATATTCCCATTAGGGAAAAACCTGCCAAAAAAGGGGGCTATAGGCCCCATGCAAGTTCAAAACCCAGCATGGCAGTCATTAAATCATGAAACTCCACAATGATCTCCTTGGTTTCCATGTGGCACGCTGATATGAGGGTTGGGCTCCCAAGGCCTTGGGCAGCTCTGCTCCTATAGCTTTGCAGAGTTCAGCCTGCTGTCACAGGCTGGGTTGAGTGTCTGTGGCTTTTCCAAGTGCAGGGTACAAGCTGCCAGTGGCTCTACCATTCTGGAGAACAGTAGCCCTCTTCTCACAGCTCCACTAGGCAGTGCCCCAGTAGGGACTCTGCGTGGGGCCTTTAACCCCACATTTCCCCTCCACGCTGCCCTAGTAGAGGCTCTCTGTGAGGGCTCTGCTCCTGCAGCAGGGTTCTGCTTGGACACCCAGGCTTTTCCATACATCCTCTGAAATCCAGGCAGAGGCTACCAAGAATTCACCATTTTTGCATTCTGTGTGCCTGCAGGCTTACCACCTAATGGAAGCTGTGAAGGCTATGGCTTATGCCCTCCAAAGTAACAGCCCAAGCTGTACCTAGGCCCCTTTGAGCCCCTGCTGGAGTTGGAGCCATCTGGATGCAGGGAGCAGTGTTCTGAGGCTGCACAGGGCAACAGGGCCCTGGGCTCAGCCCAGGAAAATATTCAGTCTTCCTTGGCTTCAGGGCCTATGACAGGAGGGGCTGCCCCATAGGTCTCTGAAATGCCTTTGAGGCCTTTTCCCCATTGTCTTGGATATTACCACTTGGATCCCTTTCAGTTATGCAAATATCAGCAAGTGGTTGCTCCACAGCCTGCTTGAATTCCTTGGAGAAAATGGTTTTTTTTTTTTACCACCTGGCTAGGCTGCAAAATTTCCCAACTTTTAGGCTCTGCTTCCTGTTTAAATGTAAGTTCCAAATTTAAGTCATTCATTTGCCCCCACATCTGAGCACAGGCTGTTAGTAGCAGAAGGCCACATCTTGAATGCTTTGCTGCTTAGAAATTTCTTCTGCCACATACGCTAGGTCATAGTTTTTAAGTTCAAACTTCCACAGATCCCTAGGACACAAGCAGAATGCAGCCAAGTTATTTGCTAAGGCATAACGTGTGACTTTTGCTCCAGTTCCCAATAAATTCGTTTCCTTTTGAGACCTTGTCAACCTGGACTTCACTGTCCCTATCACCATCAGCATTTTGGTCACAACCACTTATCTAGTCTCTAAGAAGTTCCAAACTTGCCGGGAGCAGTGGCTCACGCCTGTAAACCTAGCACTTTGGGAGGTCGAGGTGGGTGAATCACTTGAGGTCAGGAGTTCGAGACCAGCCTGGCCAACATGGTGAAACCCCATCCTTACTAAAAATACAAAAATATTAGCCAGGCATGGTGGTGCATGCCTGTAACCCCAGCTGCTTGGGAAGCTGAGGCAGAAAATCACTTGAACCCGGGAGGCAGAGGTTGCAGTGAGCCAAGATCACGCCACTGCACTCCAGCCTGGGCGACAGAGCAAGACTCCGTCTCAAAAAAAAAAAAAAAAAAAAGTTTGAAACTTACCCTCATTTTCCTGTCTTCTTCTGAGCCCTGTAAACTCTTCCAACCACTACTCATTACCCAGTTCCAAAGCTGTTTCCACATTTTCAGGTATCTTTATAGCAATGCCCAACTTCTCGGTACCAATTTTCTGTATTGGGGCATTCTTGCACTGCTATAAAGAAATACCTCAAACTGGGTAATTTACAAAGAGGTTTAATTGGCTCATGGTTCTGCAGGCTTTACAGGAAGCATGGTGCTGGCATCTGCTTGGCTTCTAGGGAGACCTCAGGAAGCTTACAGTCATGGTGGAAGGTGAAGGGGTAGCAGACACATCACATGGTAAAAGCAGGGGCAAGTGAGAGAGCTAAACTCCCGCTTTCTGATCACATATCCCAACCTGCTCCAACTCCCTAAATCCTTCCACTGTGTCTACATGGTAGAATCTCCTACATCCACAACTTCTTATGTCAACTTTCCTTCTATTTCTTGATCTAACTCCTCATTCTCAAGCTTTTTTTTTAACCATGACCCACAATAATAAATTTTACATCAAAACACCATACGCACATACATACACACACATATTATATGTGTATACACAACTGAAGTCCCACAAAAACAAACCTTACTAAAATAAAACTATATCAGATATGATTTTATTAATAGCCAAATAAACAAAAATTCAGAAATACAAAGTTCCGTGAAAGAGTTGTTTACATGCACTGTCAACTGTTCTCTCATTCTTATGTTCTCTCCCTCCAGGATTTTACCTCCTCCATTCCACCAACACAGCTCTTATGAGGGTCACCAATGAGCTCCACATTGCTAAATTGGTGAATACTTCTCAGTCCTCACTTTAGTTGACCCATTAGCAGCATGTGACCTATTGGCTTTCACATGGCCCATCACCCCTCTTCCTCAAAACACTGCCTTCATTTGGCTTCCAGGGCATCCCTCTTGATTTTCCTAACTCAATGAGAGCTCCTCCTTAGTCTCCTGCACTGTTTTTCCTCATATCCTATCTCTAACCACTGAGAGAACCCCAAAGTTCTCCTCTGACATCTTCTCTATTTGAATGCACTTCCTCAGCTATCTCCTCTAGTTCAACAGCTTTAAATTTACTAACTTCTACATTTCCATCTCTAGCCCAGACCTCTCCTCTGAACTATTTTTTTATTTTATAATATAGACGGGGTCTCACTTTGTTGCCCAGTCTGGTCTTGAACTCCTGGGCTCACATGATTCTCCTGCCTTGGCCTCCCAAAGTGCTGAGATTACAGGCATGAGGCATTGCACCTGGCCTGGACTCTTTATTCACATCCAACTTCTACTAATGGGCATCTCAATTTTCACATGTTCAAAACCCAATTTCTTTCCTGCCACAAAAGTACTCCTTATGCAGACCTCCATCTCATTAAATTCTAACTTTATTTTTCCAGTTGCATAAGCCAAAAATCTCGGAGTTACACTTGACACTCCTCTTTCATACACCACATGTAATCAATCTACTGAAAAATCCTGGTGGCTCCACTTGGAAAATATACTCAGATCCAACCACCACTACCCACACTGGCTCTAACTAGTCAGCCTGTTTCCTCCCTTCAAACCTATGGTGTATTTTCAACACAGCAATCAGAAGTCTCTTTCTGTAAGTCAGATCATGCTATACCTTGGGTTCAAAACCTTTCCATGGACTCCCAGCTTAAAAAAGTAAATGCTGAAGACCTTACTATCGCTGACATATGGCCTGGCCCTTGACTACCTCTCTTAGCTCCATCTCCTTAATCTCTCCTCCTTACTTCCACTCCAGCCACGATTAACTCCTTGTTGTTCCCCAAACATGTTAAATACACTTGTGTCTTAGGGCCTTTCTATTTGTTATCTCCCTTGCCTGGGATACTCTCCCTCTAGTTGTACCTAGAACAGTTGAATCATCGCATAATTGCTAAAAGGACAAGTGACCATGTGACAACGTTCTTTCATCTTTTATGCTTGTAACACCAGAATTTACTTGAAAAAGTTTGTAAGTGGACAAGTATGAAAGACAGATATGTACACAAAGTAACAGGAAGGTAAAGATGATGTGAAAAATGAAAACCAATCCACTGAAAGTCATTCTAATTGGTATTTATAAATGTAAAAACAAAAATGTTTTGCTGTTATGTAACAAAGAATATAGCCATCATCTATCACTTCAACAAAACTATGAGCCCTAAAGTTTTCAGAAGTATTGCAGTTTGGACAGGTGTGGTGGCTCATGCCTACCGTCCCCAGCACTTTGGAAGGCAGGAAGATCACTTGAGGCCAGGTGTTCAAGGCCAGCCTGGGCAACACAGTGAGACCCTATTTCTACAAAAAATAAAAATAAATTAAAAAACAAAAAGTATTGCATTTTGACAAAGTGAGTTCATGAAGAATACAAATAATAAGGTAGAACATAGTAGAGATGCATTTGAAATCCAAAATCCGTATTTAAAGGTAGGTATGTTCCAGATTCATGCATAATGACAGCTGCTTTCAAAGGATGTAATGCCTTTTAGGTATACATAAACATTCAAAACTGGGAAAATATGGGAAAAAATGTGGGTCTCCTATATTTGGATTCTCATTAAAATTGCTAACAAAGTTAATTTTCACCATCCCTTTATTCTTCTGTAAATTGTTTATAAAATGACTTGAAAAAGAATGCAGTCAATTCTCATTACTTGAGGTAGTTATGTTCTATGAAGTTGCCACAAACACGCAAATTAGTGAATACTGAGCCATTGCTCCTAACAGAAATACAGGGTTAGGTTCTTGTAAGCCTTTGGTCACATTTTCACCAACTTATAAATACGTAAGCTTGTTTTATATCTGTTTCTGTTTAAAGACACATTATTTAATAAATATAGACCTGGCATGGTGGCTCATATCTGTAATCCCAGCACTCTGGGATGCCAAGGTGGGTGGATCACTTGAGGTCAGGAGTTCAAGACTGGCCTACCCAACATGGTAAAACCCCACCTCTACTAAAAATACAAAAATTATGCTGGGTGCAGTGGCGGGTGCCTATAATCCCAGCTACTGAGAAGACTGAGGCAGGAGAATCGTTTGAACCCGGGAGGAGGAGGTTGCAGTGAGCCGAGATTATGCCATTGCACTCCAGCCTGGGTGACAGAGTGAGACTCCATCTCAAAAAATATAATAATAAATAGTGATGACTCATCATCATCTAACTCCCACTCAACAGCACTATAACTCATGACTAAACAAAGGTTATCTAACACATGTATTCTCTAAGGCACCTCACAGCCCGCATGCACCTTGGAATACCACTATATAGCACTTCAGCACAATGCTTGGGAATCACTTTAAACAGTAAAATCACAAACAGAAGGCACAAAAATGTGAAAAATGTAGAACTATATAAACTGCTTTCGAAAAGGACACTTGTTTATAGTAAGAAAGCTACACAAAAAACTGAGCACTGTTCAACCCCAGCTGGGAATATCTGGATAAGGTTCTCAAATTTTTCACCTCTGTGTATGTCCATGAAAAACCATGAAACTGCCATGAGTATTGATGTTAGGTTACAAATAAATTTTAGCAAGTAGGTGCCTTTACAAATACAGATTCTACAAATAAAGAGAATTGACTGTAAATAAAATTTTATAAGCAAAAACTCTGAAAATAAAAACAAATAGTTAAAATGGTAATGGGAAGACGATATAAACAACAGAAAATTAAAAGTTCTTAAACACATGAAAAGGTGCTGAACTTCACAATAAAATAAAAATGTACAAATATGAGATAATCATTTTTAACTATTCAATTGACAAAGATTCAAAGGTTTGATAAATTATTGGCTATTTTGCAGGAAACAAACTCTCCATGTTGGTATAAATATAGATTAATATAACCTCTACTGAAAACAATTTAGCAAACTTTTATTTAAAATTTAAATGTAGGTCGGGCACGGTGGCTCATGCCTGTAATCCCAGCACTTTGGGAGGCCAAGGCGAGCAGATCACAAGGTCAGGAGTTCAAGATCAGCCTGGCCAACATGGTGAAACCCCGTCTCTACTAAAAAAATACAAAAATTAGCCGGGCATGGTGGCGTGTGCCTGTAATCCTAGCTACTCAGGAGGCTGAGGCAGGAGCACTGCTTGAACCTGGGAGGCGGAGGTTGCGGTGAGCTGAGATCACGCCATTGCACTCCAGCCTGGGCAACAGAGCAAGACTCCGTATCAAAAAAAAAAAAAAACAATTTAAATGCAATAGCCTCTTCAACACAGTAGTTCTAATTCTAGATACTTAATCCTAAAGATGCTGACTGTACTATTAAATAACAAATGATTAGAAACAAATTAAACTCTCATCCACAAGAGCTCAATTCATTAAGCGTGGTACACATCTGTAAGAATATCCTGTAAGTGCTTAAAAGAATGAGAGCTTTTTTTTAAATTTTTAATTTTTGCATTTTTCTTATTTTATTTTATTATTATACTTTAAGTTTTAGGGTACATGTGCACAATGTGCAGGTTAGTTACATATGTATACATGTGCCATGCTGGTGTGCTGCACCCATTAACTCGTCATTTAGCATTAGATATATCTCCTAATGCTATCCCTCCCCATTCCCCCCACCCCACAACAGTCCCCAGAGTGTGATGTTCCCCTTCCTGTGTCCATGTGTTCTCATTGTTCAATTCCCACCTATGAGTGAGAACATGCGGTGTTTGGTTTTTTGTCCTTGCGATAGTTTACTGAGAATGATGATTTCCAATTTCATCCATGTCCCTACAAAGGACATGAACTCATCATTTCTTATGGTTGCACAGTATTCCATGGTGTATATGTGCCATATTTTCTTAATCCAGTCTATCATTGTTGGACATTTGGGTTCGTTCCAAGTCTTTGCTATTGTGAATAGTGCCGCAATAAACATACGTGTGCATGTGTCTTCATAGCAGCATGATTTATAGTCCTTTGGGTATATACCCAGTAATGGGATGGCTGGGTCAAATGGTATTTCTAGTTCTAGATCCCTGAGGAATCACCACACTGACTTCCACAATGGTTGAACCAGTTTACAGAACTCTCCACCCCACATCAACAGAATATACATTTTTTTCAGCACCACACCACACCTATTCCAAAATTGACCACATAGTTGGAAGTAAAGCTCTCCTCAGCAAACGTAAAAGAACAGAAATTATAACAAACTGTCTCTCAGACCACAGTGCAATCAAACTAGAACTCAGGAATAAGAAACTCACTCAAAACCACTCAACTACATGGAAACTGAACAACCTGCTCCTGAATGACTACTGGGTACATAACGAAATGAAGGCAGAAATAAAGATGTTCTTTGAAACCAACGAGAACAAAGACACAACATACCAGAATTTCTGGGACACATTCAAAGCAGTGTGTAGAGGGAAATTTATAGCACTAAATGCCCACAAGAGAAAGCAGGAAAGATCCAAAATTGACACCCTAACATCACAATTAAAAGAACTAGAAAAGCAAGAGCAAACACATTCAAAAGCTAGCAGAAGGCAAGAAATAACTAAAATCAGAGCAGAGCTGAAGGAAATAGAGACACAAAAAACCCTTCAAAAAATTAATCCAGGAGCTGGTTTTTGGAAAGGATCAACAAAATTGATAGACCGCTAGCAAGACTAATAAAGAAGAAAAGAGAGAAGAATCAAATAGACGCAATAAAAAATGATAAAGGGGATATCACCACCGATCCCACAGAAATACAAACTACCATCAGAGAATACTATAAACACTTCTACGCAAATAAACTAGAAAATCTAGAAGAAATGGATAAATTCCTCGACACATACACCCTCCCAAGACTAAACCAGGAAGAAGTTGAATCTCTAAATGGACCAATAACAGGCTCTGAAATTGTGGCAATAATCAATAGCTTACCAACCAAAAAGAGTCCACGACCAGATGGATTCACAGCCGAATTCTACCAGAGGTACAAGGAGGAACTGGTACCATTCCTTCTGAAATTATTCCAATCAATAGAAAAAGAGGGAATCCTCCCTAACTCATTTTATGAGGCCAGCATCATCCTGATACCAAAGCCAGGCAGAGACACAACCAAAAAAGAGAATTTTAGACTAATATCCTTGATGAACATTGATGCAAAAATCATCAATAAAATACTGGCAAACCGAATCCAGCAGCACATCAAAAAGCTTATCCAGCATGATCAAGTGGGCTTCATCCCTGGGATGCAAGGCTGGTTCAACATACGCAAATCAATAAATGTAATCCAGCATATAAACAGAACCAAAGACAAAAACCACATGATTATCTCAATAGATGCAGAAAAGGCCTTTGACAAAATTCAACAATCCTTCATGCTAAAAACTCTCAATAAATGAGGTATTGATGGGACGTATCTCAAAATAATAAGAGCTATCTATGACAAACCCACAGCCAATATCATACTGAATGGGCAAAAACTGGAAGCATTCCCTTTGAAAACACGCACAAGACAGGGATGCCCTCTCTCACCACTCCTATTCAACATAGTGTTGGAAGTTCTGGCCAGGGCAATTAGGCAGGAGAAAGAAATAACGGGTATTCAATTAGGAAAAGAGGAAGCCAAATTGTCCCTGTTTGCAGATTACATGATTGTATATCTAGAAAACCCCATTGTCTCAGCCCAAAATCTCCTTAAGCTGATAAGCAACTTCAGCAAAGTCTCAGGATACAAAATCAATGTACAAAAATCACAAGCATTCTTATACAGCAATAACAGACAAACAGAGAGCCAAATCATGAGTGAACTCCCATTCACAATTGCTTCAAAGAGAATAAAATACCTAGGAATCCAACTTACAAGGGATGTGAAGGACCTCTTCAAGGAGAACTACAAACCACTGCTCAATGAAATAAAAGAGGATACAAACAAATGGAAGAACATTCCATGCTCATGGGTAGGAAGAATCAATATCATGAAAATGGCCATACTGCCCAAGGTAATTTACAGATTCAATGCCATCCCCATCAAGCTACCAATGACTTTCTTCACAGAATTGGAAAAAACTACTTTAAAGTTCATATGGAACCAAAAAAAAGCCCGCATCGCCAAGTCAATCCTAAGCCAAAAGAACAAAGCTGGAGGCATCACGCTACCTGACTTCAAACTATACTACAAGGCTACAGTGACCAAAACAGCATGGTACTGGTACCAAAACAGAGATATAGACCAATGGAACAGAACAGAGCTCTCAGAAATAACGCCGCATATCTACAACTATCTGATCTTTGACAAACCTGAGAAAAACAAGCAATGGGGAAAGGATTCCCTATTTAATAAATGGTGCTGGGAAACTGGCTAGCCATATGTAGAAAGCTGAAACTGGATCCCTTCCTTACACCTTATACAAAAATTAATTCAAGATGGATTAAAGACTTAAATGTTAGACCTAAAACCATAAAAACCCTAGAAGAAAACCTAGGCATTACCATTCAGGACATAGGCATGGGCAAGGACTTCATGTCTAAAACACCAAAAGCAACGGCAACAAAAGCCAAAACTGGGATCTAATTAAACTAAAGAGCTTCTGCACAGCAAAAGAAACTACCATCAGAGTGAACAGGCAACCTACAAAATGGGAGAAAATTTTTGCAATCTACTCATCTGACAAAGGGCTAATATCCAGAATCTACAACGAACTCAAACAAATTTACAAGAAAAAAACAGACAACCCCATCAAAAAGTGGGCGAAGGACATGAACAGACACTTCTCAAAAGAAGACATTTATGCAGCTAAAAAACACATGAAAAAATGCTCACCATCACTGGCCATCAGAGAAATGCAAATCAAAACCACAATAAGATACCATCTCACACCAGTTAGAATGGCAATCATTAAAAAGTCAGGAAACAACGGGTGCTGGAGAGGATGTGGAGAAATAGGAAGAATGAGAGTTTTAAATACTGATATGGTGTGTTCTCCAAGATATATTGACAGAAAAGCACTTATCTATTGAAGAACATTATATGAATTACCTCTAAAGATAAAAAATTTTAAAAGTTCAAAAAGGGTAATGATGATATATCATGACAGAACTTAATTACTTTTTTTCTTTTTGAGACAGTCACTGAGTCACCCAGGCTGGAGTGTAGTGGCATGATCTTGGCTCACTGCAACCTCCGCCTCCTGGGTTCAAGTGATTCTCATGCTTCAGCCTCTCCAGTAGCTGGGATTACAGGCGCCCACCACCATGCCGAGCTAATTTTTTTTTTGTATTTTTAGTAGAGATGGGGTTTCACCATGTTGGGCCAGGCTGGTCTCGAACTACCGACCTCAGGTGATCCACCCACCTCAGCCTCTCAAAGTGCTAGGATTACAGGTATGAGCCACCATGCCTGGCCTTAATTACATGTTTTTTAAAAATTCACAATAAATGTATACACAAACATTTTAAAAAACACAAAAGGGTACACTGTGAAAAGTGTACAGAAGGGCTGGGCATGGTGATTCATGCCTGTAATCCTAGCACTTTGGGAGCCCGAGGTGGGAGAATGGCTTGAACCCAGGAACTCGAGACCAGCTTGGGCAACATAGATCATGTCACTACCAAAAAAAAAAAAAAAGTGTACAGAAGCAGAGTTGCTCTTGTTTTTTGTTTGTTGCTTTGGTTTGGTTTTTTTTTTTGAGACAGGGTCTCAGTCTGTTGCCCAGGCTGAAGTGCAATGGTGTGAACATGGCTCATTATACAGCCTCAACCTCCTGTACTCAAGTGATCCTTTTGCCTCAGCCTCTCCAGTAGCTGGGACTACAGGCATGCACCACCATGCCTTGCTAATTCTTTCATTTTTTGTAGAGTCAGGGGTTTTGCGTTGTTGCTTATGCTGGTCTTGAACTCCTGGGCTCAAGTGATCCGCCTGTCTCGTCCTCCCAAAATGCTGGGATTACAGGTGTAAGCCACCGTGCCTGGCCCAGAGTTGCTCTTAGTAACGTGTTTTTTTTTTTTTTTTTTTGAGACGGAGTCTCGCTTTTTAGCCCAGGCTTGAGTACAGCGGCACAATCTCGGCTCACCACAACCTCCACCTCCCGGGTTCAAGCAATTCTCCTGCCTCAGCCTCCCAAGTAGCTGGGACTACAGGGCGTGCCACCATGCCGGGCTAATTTTTGTATTTTTAGTAGAGACAGGGTTTTACTATGTTGGCCAGGCTGGTCTGGAACTCCTGATCTCAGGTGATCCACCCGCCTCGGCCTCCCAAAGTGCTGGGATTACAGGTGTGAGCTGCCGCGCCCAGCTGCTCTTAGTAACTTCTGGAATTTGATGTCTAAATTGAATCCATTATTTCAAACATCACAAGACTTAAGTTCATAAAAACTTTTTTAAAAAGTTAACTCTGGGTCAGGCGTAGTGGCTCAAGCTTGTAATCCCAGCACTTTGGGAGGCCGAGGCAGGTGGATTACCTGGGGTCAGGAGTTCCAGACCAGCCTGGCCAACGTGGCGAAACCACGTCTCTACTACTAAAAATACAAAAATTAGCCAGGCATAGTGGCACATGCCTGTAGTCCCAGCTGCTCGGGAGGCTGAGGCAGGAGAATTGCTTGAACCTGGGAGGCAGAGGTTGCAGTGAGCTGAAATTGCGCCACTGCACTCCAGCTTGGGTGAGAGTTAGACTGTATCAAAAACAAAAAGAAATTAACTGTGTAGTTTATTTCTGTTAATGGCAACCCTGCAGAAAAGTTAAACTTAGAATATGTCTCAAAGTAATCTCTGTCTGATCCCTTAATGAAGGATCTCTTCAAACACAGCAACTTTTGTCTGTCTTCTGAACGTAGGTACAGCTGTGGCTGTAGAACAGACCATGTAATTTTCATCTAGATTCCTTACAACCACAAGGACAATTATTACAATGAAAGCCAGAGAACTAGCTCAGTTTTGATTTTATTACTAGGATAAATCCAGCCAGGTAGTGTGGTGGCTTTGATGTTTTCTGTCTATATCTAAGGGGGAAGCTGCTTCATTATTCGATATTAAGATAAATAGGGCCTAAAAATAGTCCTAGGTCAAACACCATTATGATTAACTCAACTTTCAAAACCATTTACCTAATGTAGGATTTGTTAATAAGTCTTCTTCAAAATTAGCAAGAAATACAACTAATGCCTAACCCGTCATGATGAATTAAAGACTGATCCAAAAATAACTGACAGTTCTCTTCCAGTTGCCCTCTTCTTTGACAATCCCACCAGTCTATGCTCTAAGCTCACGCTTGACTTCCAAAAACTGCCAGATATTGTAGACACCATGAAGAATAAGATGTACTACCTTTTCTCTAATGAAAGAGGAAATACAGATATAAACAATATATAAACATAATATAATGTGAAAAGCTATGTATAGAAATAAATAGAGAGGCCGTGTGCGGTGGCTCACGGCTGTAATCCCAGCACTTTGGGAGGCCAGGGTGGTCGAATCACTTGAGGGCAGGAGTTTGAGACCAGCCTGGCCAACATGGTGAAACTCCATCTCTACTAAAAATACAAAACTTAGTGGGGCATGGTGCCACATGCCTGTAATCCCAACTACTCACGTGGGTGAGGCACGAGAACCGCTTGAACCCGGATAGCAGAGGTTGCAGTGAGCTGAGATTGCACCACTGCACTCCAGCGTGGGCAGCAGAGCGAGACTCTGTCTCAAAAACAAACAAAAATAAGAATATGTAAAGACATGAAAAATGTGACATTAAGTGGGAATACACATGCACATACACAAAATGCTATGGTGGCATCCATATCAAAATATGGGCCAAAGGGCAAAATAATATGCAAAAAAGAAATACAATCACAGATACAGCTAATTTAAAAAAAAATTAAATATTTTTATTATATACTTTTAAACATATAGAAGATAGAAAAAAACAGTACAATGAACAGCCATGTCCACCAGTTAGATTCTGTAACATTTTGCCACATACGCCTCACATACATTTTGTTAAACCATTTGAAACATTTTAAGACACTCTAACACTTCATTCCTAAATGCTTAAGTATGCAAATTAAGACAGTCTTTTATAAACTACAACACCCTTCTCACAGCTCATAAAATTACCAATAATTATCCAATATCATTCAAAATCTAATCCACATTCAAATTTTCTCAACTGCCTCACCACCGTGCTGGCCTCCCACCCCCACCCCAGTCTTTTACAGATGGTTTTTCAAAATAGAGTCCAGTAAAATATTTCACATTGCATTTGGTTATTACATAACTTTTAATCAAGAAGAGTTACCCATTCCACTTCCTTTTTTCTTTCCCAACACTTGATATTTTGAAGAAATGAGGCCAGTTATCTTCTATAACGCTTCACATTCCAGATCTGTCTGATCGTTTCTTTAGTGGTGTCATTTAGTGCTGCTCTATGCCAGCATTTCCTGCAAATGAGAAATTAGAACCAGAGGCTTGACGAATTCCAGTTAAACCATGTCCTCTGTGGACACCAGTTAAACTTGACTAGAGCACTTCATATGTCAGAGTGTACAGTGCAGTATGCCTAGGTTATCCCATATCACAATAAAAAAAAGTCTGCTGGTCTGCCTACTAGTGATATAAAATGGCATCATATCCTAAAGCTCTTTATTGTGAAAGTATGTTTCTTCCACATAACCAACCAGTTAAGTATGAGAATTCTAGTAGGGATGTAGATTAACCTTTTATCTAATAGTTTTGGCATCAAAATTCTTTAATATTGATTGTTTTACATTAACCTTTCAACTTTTTAACATCTGAACTTTTTAAATGTTCAAAAACATTTGTTTTCCACAAACCATAAAGTTTTACAAAAGTAAGATTCACTTTCATAATGCTGGCAGACTTACTCCTTAATTTAAGGAATGTGAGCACCTTCCTTCTTTTTGATTTTGTCTGAAACCCTGTAAGGAAAATAAAGGAAGTTAAAAAAAATAGCTATATAGACATAGATAGCTATATATAGATAGCTTTATATGGATGTTAAAAAGCATTTTGTTTCACAAGACATTTTACTTATTTTATTCAACAAAATATGATCAGAAATTAAGTTGATAGTCTTTTAATGTACTTTAAAAGTTATCCCAAAGAAAACAATTATTAGGCTGCAGTTAAGGTTTTCTTGCAGTGGCTCATGCCTACAATCCCACAACTTTGGGAGGCAGAGGTAGGGGGATCACTTGAGACCTGGAGCTTGACACCACCCTGGGCAACATAATGAGACCCTGTCTCTACAAAAAATTTAAAAATTAGGCCGGCGTGGTGGCTCAGGCTAGGCACAGTGGCTCACGCCTGTAATCCCAGCACTTTGGGAGGCCGAGACAGTTGGATCACCTGAGCTCAGGAGTTCGAGAACAGCCTGGCCAACATGGCAAAACCCCATTTCTACTGAAAGTACAAAAAATTAGCCAGGCATGGTGGTGGGGACCTCTAATCCCAGCTACTTGGGAGGCTGAGGCAGGAGAATCACTTGAACCCAGGAGGCGGAGGCTGCAGTGAGCTGAGATTTACACCACTGCACTCCAGCCTGGGTGACAGAGCAAGACTCTGTCTCAAAAAAAAATAAATAAATAAAAATAAAAATTAGCCAGGTGCAGTGGCATTATCACTGTAGTCCCAGCTACTCGGGAAACTGAGGTGAGAGGACTGCTTGAGCCCTGGAGGTCAAGGCTGCAGTGAGCTGTGAATGTGCCCTTGCACTCCAGCCTGAGCAATAGAGTGAGACCTGGTCTCTAAAAAATAAAATTTAAATTTAAAAAATTTAAAAACATTGCCGGTCACAGTGGCTCATGCCTGTAATGCCTTGCACTTTTGGAGGCCAAGGCGGGCGGATCACCTGAGGTCGGATTTGGAGAACAGCCTGACCAACATGGAGAAACCCCGACTCTACTAAAAATACAAGACTAGGCCGGGCACAGTGGCTCACGCCTATAATCCCAGCACTTGGGGAGGCTGAGGCGGGTGGATCAAAAGGTCAGGAGATCGAGACCATCCTGGCTAACACAGTGAAACCCCATCTCTACTAAAAACACAAAAAAATTAGCCGGGTGTGGTGGCGGGCACCTGTAGTCCCAGCTACTCGGGAGGCTGAGGCAAGAGAATGGTGTGAACCTGGGAGGCAGAGCTTGCAGTGAGCCAAGATCGCGCCGCTGCACTCCAGCTTGGGGGACAGAGCAAGACACCATCTCAAAAAAAAAAAACAAAAAACAAAACAAAACACAAAACTGGCTGGGCGTGGTGGCATATGGCTGTAATCACAGCTACTCGGGAAGCTGAGGCAGGAGAATCACTTGAACCCAGGAGGCGGAGGTTGCAGTGAGCCGAGATTGCACCATTGCACCCCAGCCTGGGCGACAGGGCAAAACTCCATCTTAAAAAATAAATAAACTAATTAATTTAAAAAAATATTTTTCTTCCTTTTTTTTTTGAGACGGAGTTTCGCTCTTGTTGCCCAGGCTGGAGTGCAATGGTGCAATCTTGGCTCACCGCAACCTCCGCCTTCTCAGTTCAAGCAACTCTCCTGCCTCAGCCTCCCAAGTAGCTGGGATTACAGGCATGCGCCACCATGCCCGGCTAGTTTTGTATTTTTAGTAGAGACAGGGTTTCTCCATGTTGGTCAGGCTGATCTGGAACTCCCGACTTCAGGTGATTCACCCGCCTTGGCCTCCCAAAGTGTTGGGATTACCGGCGTGAGCCACTGCGCCCAGCTGATTTTTCTTCTTTCAGTATGTCCAATGATGTTCCTGAGCCCGCTTATACCTTATTTTTTTTTTTTTGAGATGGAGTTTTGCTCTTATTGCCCAGGCTGGAGTGCAATGAGGTGATCTCGGCTCACCGCAACCTCCACCTCCCAGGTTCAAGCAATTCTCCTGCCTCAGCCTCCTGAGTAGCTGGGATTACAGGCATGCACCACCACGCCCGCCTAATTTTGTATTTTTTTTAGTAGAGACGGGGTTTCTCCATGTTGAGGCTAGTCTCTAACTCCCGACCTCAGGTGATCCGCCTGCCTCGGCCTCCCAAAGTGCTGGGATTACAGGTGTGAGCCACCGTGCCCGGCCTATACCTTATTTTCATCAAATAAAATATATGACCTTAAACTACCTGTGTCATACTTATTAAAATGAGACCATTAAACACCAGTATTCACTAAATAAAAAAAAAATTTAAAGTCAAAAATTAATACTAAAACATTTGTTTTTCTTGTCAGATCTAGCCCAAATGTCCTCTGTCTCTCTTCTGGCTTCAATGCTTTCTATCTTTCCCTACATGTATACTAGCTTGCAGTGGCTTCCCACTTCATTACTAATCTACACCTAACAGACCGTAAGATGTATTGAAAGATTTGTTACTAATGAGTATCAAAGTTATAACCTATTTTATGTTATTTCAACAACATTATTCTTAGTCATTTGCATTCTGCTTAGATTTCTAAGACAAAAAGATAGAGGTTAAAAGCTAGACTCAGAGCCTATCTCAACCACGTGGCTTCAGTAGAACAAAGGTTAAGAATTGTTAGCTTAAGGCAATGACGTATTAAAAACACTTAAGGCCAGGTGCAGTGGCTCACGCCTGTAATCCCAGCACTTTGGGAGGCCTAGGCAGGCAGATCACGAGGTCAGGAGATCGAGACCATCCTGGCTAACACGGTGAAACCCCATCTCTACTAAAAATACAAAAAATTAGCCGTGCATGGTGGCACACGCCTGTAGTCCCAGCTACTTGTCGGGCTGAGGCAGGAGAATGGTGTGAACCCGGGAGGCAGAGCTTGCAGTAAGCCAAGATCATGCCACTGCACTCCAGCTTAGGAGACAGAGCAAGACTGTCTCAAAAACAAAAACAAAACAAAAAAAACCCAAAAAACCAAAAAAACAAAAAGAACACAAACGAATGTTCATAGCAACATTATTCATTATAGCCCAAAAATAAAAACAACCTAAATGTCCATGAACTGATGAATGGATAAAATGTGATATAACCAAACAACAGAATATTCAGCAATAAGAAGGAATGCAGTACTGGTGCATTCTACAGCATGGATGAATCTTGAAAATAGCATGCTAAGTGAAAGAAGCCAGACACAAAAGACCACATATCGTATAATTCCGTTTATATATAATATCTAAAATAGACAAATTCATAGAGACAGAAAGTGTACTGACTGCCTAGGGCTGGGGAAAATGAAGGTAACAGGGTTTCTTTTTGGGGTGATGAAAATGTTCTTAAATTGTAGTGATGGTTGCATAACTGAAAACCAAAACCACTGACTTGTATACTTTCTTTTTTATTTTATTTTTTGAGACAGAGTCTCGCTCTGTCGCCCAGGCTGGAGTGCACTGGCACAATCTCGGCTCACTGCAAGCTCCACCTCCTGGGTTCACGCCACTCTCCTGCCTCAGCCTCCCGAGCAGCTGGGACAAAAGGTGCCCGCCAACATGCCCGGCTAATTTGTTTTTGTACTTTTAGTAGAGACGGGGTTTCACCATGTTAGCCAGGATGGTCTCGATCTCCTGACCTCGTGATCCACCTGCCTTGGCCTCCCAAAGTGCTGGGATTACAGGCGTGAGCCATTGTGCCCAGCCAACTTGTATACTTTCAAAGGTAAACTGCACACCATGTGAATTATTTCTCAAGAAAGTTATTTAGAACATAAATTATACCAATACTTTATATATACATTATGTATTTTTTTCAAATATTTCATAATTTAAAAAACACAAAAGCCTACAGTGTTACAGTCAGATAACTGATCTCAAAACAAATTACAAGCTGTTGATTTATTACTTTTTGGTCATTAAAATGAGGAATTCATGATACATACAATATACCAAGGTTATACTACAACAACTGAAGCGTGACTTTTTTTTCCCTCCGCAAATTCTCACTCTGTTGGCCAGGCTAGAGTGCAGCGGTGTGATCTCGGCTCACTGCAACCTCTGCCTCCCAGGTTCAAGTGATTCTCCTGCCTCAACCTCTCAAGTAGCTGGGATTACAACTGCCCGCCACTGGGCTAAGTTTTGTGTATTTAGTAGAAATGGAGTAGTCACCATGTTGGCCAGGCTGGTCCTGAACTCCTAACCTCAAGTGATCCACCTGCCTCTACCTCCCAAAGTACTGGGATTATAGGTGTGAGCCACCGTGCCAGGCCTTTTTCTTTTTTTGAGATGGAATCTCACTCTGTCACCAAGGGTGGAGTGCAGTGGCACAATCTCAACTCACTGCAACCTCTGCCTCCCAGATTAAAGCAATTTTCCTGCCACAGCCTCCCAAGTAGCTCGGATTACAGGCATGTGCCACCATGCCTGGCTAAATTTTTTTTGGTATTTTTAGTAGAGACAAGGTTTCATCATGTTGGCCAGGCTGGTCTCAAACTCCTGACCTCAAGTGATCTGCCTGCCTCGGCCTCACAAACTGTTGGGATTACAGTTGTAAGCCACCATGTCTGGCCTTAACTTTTAAATAAGAATATTAATGGGGGCACACACAGATGATACATTTAAAAACATACACCTTTAAGTCAGTTGTTTCTTCTATATTAATTTACTAAAAATACAAGTGCCTACAATATCACATCATAATTTTAGCAGGGCACAAGAGCTTACTTTTAAAAATAATTTTAGGCCGGGCGCGGTGGCTCACGCTTGTAATCCCAGCACTTTGGGAGGCCGAGGCGGGTGGATCACGAGGTCAGGAGATCGAGACCACGGTGAAACCCCGTCTCTACTAAAAATAAAAAAAAATTAGCCGGGCGTGGTGGCGGGCGCCTGTAGTCCCAGCTACTCGGAGAGGCTGAGGCAGGAGAATGGCGTGAACCCGGGAGGCGGAGCTTGCAGTGAGCCGAGACTGCGCCACTGTACTCCAGCCTGGGTGACAGAGCGAGACTCCGTCTCAAAAAAAAAAAAAAAATAAAATAAAATAAAATAATTTTAAATGTTCTGACTAAAATACAATAGAACATGTCCGTAGGAGACTAACGTATAAAGTGACAAGTTTGAAGCCATACTCCCCAAGGTTCAATGTGGTACACATTACCCCAGATCTTTGTGCATTAAAAAAATTTCATTTCTCTTGGAAGGCCGAGGCGGGTGGATCACGGGGTCAGGAGATTGAGACCATCCTGGCTAACACAGTGAAACCCTGTCTTTACAAAAAAATACAAAAAATTAGACAGGCGTGGTGGCAGGCACCTGTAGTCCCAGCTACCTCTGAGGCTGAGGCAGGAGAATGGCGTGAATCCAGGAGGCAGAGCTTGCTGTGAGCCAAGATCACGCCATTGCACTCCAGCCTGGGCAACAGAGCAAGACTCCGTCTCAAAAAAAAAAAAAAAAAAAAAAGAATTTCATTTTTCATTTATGAAAAATTATCCCATCTTTTCCATTCCCTACAATCAATTTCAAATCAGAGATTAAAACATTATTTAGAAAAAGTATAATTTCAATTCAAAAGTGTATAATCAAAATAATCTAACAATAGCATGAAAGCTTTTTAAAATTAACTAAAATTATACTTAGGGACAATGCAAGAGTAATTTAAGCCTCAGACAGTTGTATTTTTTTATTTTTATTTTTTAGTAATATAAAGAGAGAAGCAAGTAGTATTTTATAAATTTACAAAACAAAGTCACATAACTACAAAAAAATTGTCAGGAAAAGATGCTGAGTGATTACTTACCATATAATAGCCAGTATGATAGCCACTCATGTACCATGAAATTAACATACTTCCCAAAGCATCAGCATCATCAAGAGAATCTGGACATATGGGAGGTGGTGGGGGAATTATCTGGAGACAGAAAAAGATATTGTTTATATCCAGTAAACAAAAAAGTAAAGTCTGGAGATTTATATTATATAGTGAATGCTGGAAATTAATTGTATTTTTGCTTATATAATCTCCTACTTAAATTTCTTTTTTTTCCCCTAAACAAAGACGAGGTCTTGCTATGTTGCCCAGACTGGTCTCAAACTCCTGAGCTCAAGTGATCCTCCTGCCTCAGCCTTCTAAAATGCCGGGATTACAGGCATGAGCCACTGTACCTGGCCTTAAATTTCTTAACATAGCTAGCATTTGGAGAAAACCAACCAATAACAACAAAAGACCAACAAAATTAAATTTAACGAGGACGAAAAGACAGCAAGTGACATAAAAAGTTTAAACATTTTGATTTAGACTATGTATCTGTTCCACTATGAAGCTATGAGTAAAAAAAAAAAATCAAGCATAAATACTTTCATGCTTTTCCTTAATACACACACACACACACACACACACACACAGCTCACATAGCATTTCGAGGGCGATTTTAAGTAAATGTCTTGGGTAGAACACCTGTTCTAACCCCATCCCAATACACAGTATGCCAAAAAGTATCTTTTTATCTATTGTTAATACCTAAAAATCTACCATTAGAAATCCAGTTTACAGCTGGGTGCGGCAGCTCACGCCTGTAATCCCAGCGCTTTGGGAGGCCAAGGCGGGTGGATCACCTGAGGTCAGGAGTTCAAGATCAGTCTGGCCAACATGGTGAAACCCCATCTCTACTAATAAAACAAAAATTAGCCGGGTGTGGTGGCAGTCGCCTGTAATCCCAGCTACTTGGGAGGCCGAGGCAGAATTGCTTGAACCCAGGAGGCGGAGGTTGCTGTGAGCTGAGATCACACCACTGCACTCCAGCCTGGGGTACAAGGGCAAAACTCTGCCTCCAAAACAAAAAAAAAAAAAGAGAGAGAAAGAAAAAGAAATCCAGTTTACATCAGAAGCTAACATCCAACTATACCTAGAAGGGCAAACACTAATTCCTTATATAAGGTATAATTAAATCCCTTCTAACAGGAACTACCTCCTTATGGCATAGACACCAACTTCTGCCAGGAAAGAAGGCAACCTAGAGCTTAGACTTGGGACTACAAGAGCACTGCATCTGGGTAACAGAAAGGCATTAAAAACAAACAAAACCCAGAGGTTTAGTTCAAATTTCTACCCATTAGAATCTGGCCCAAGGGATGTTCTACAATGACATTTTACAATCCTCTATTCTGCTAATTATCAAATTGTATGTGAAAGCAAAATCTAACCTATACTCTTTTTTACTTACTGGTGGTCCAGAAGGAAATGGAGGCAGCCAGCATGATAGTAAGTGGGGTGGTGGTGGTGGCGGTGGCGGTGGTGGGCCATTGAATTTTAGACCTGGCTATAAGGAATATTTCAAAGGAAAATTAACTTACCAATTTCAATATGATAGGAATAAAAAGGACTCAAAACCAAAAGGATAAAAATAATTACCCAGAATATTTGTTTTATACATATCAAAAAGATTAAGTGAAATTTCATGTACCAAATCCTGAAGTCAAACAGACTCATAAGTCAAATGACAACCTCTGGATTTTTCTCATTTCCTTTCTATGTAGACATTAAGGAAGTAAAACAAAATAAGAGTGGTGATTACCTAATAAATCAGAGACAGTCTATTTAGCAAAATTATTTCAATCATAAAAGACTATATCCCAAATTTCATTAACTAAATTGTATATTTTTATGAAAGCCTGTTTAGCTATACATGCCAACTTAGAGGACATATTGTGAAAACTAGCAAATCTCTCCTTATAAAAATCAGCCCCCTGAGACCAATGAAGCATGATGTATATATCCTAAGAGGGTACATCATTTTAGATTCAAGAAACTGTAATATAATGTAAGCCTCAATAAGAACATTATCACAGAAAATCTTAAAACTTTTGGTGAGTCATGCTTGTTTTTTGAAAATGACTGCCTAGGCTAGGCGCCTGTAATCCTAGCACTTTGGAAGGCCAAGGTGGGGAGATCACTTGAGGTCAGGAGTTCAAGACCAGCCTGGCCAACATGGTGAAACCCCATCTCTACTAAAAATACAAAATAAGCCGGGTGTGGTGGCGGGTGCCTGTAATCTCAGCTACTTGGGAGGCTGAAGCAGGAGAATCACTTGAACCCAGGAGGTGGAAGTTGCAGTGAGCTGAAATGGTGCCACTGCACTCCAGCCTGAGCGACAGAGCAAGACTCCATCTCGAAAAAAAAAAAAAATTGCCTAAATACCATTCCCTCCATGGAAGAAATCACCGCTTTACACAAAAGAACTAGAAAGGGACAAGCCTTAAGGTTCCATGACATAATCTAACCTATAATAAAAATCTTTTTAGAGTTGATTTCTGTTACTTATAACCAAAAGGACCATAAATGAAAACAATATTTACATTTGAACTCTACAAAACAATCTGAGAGCGCCTCAGGATTTTATCTATATTAGATGTAAATAATGTGTTCTTATTTTACATATCTTATACAGGTGACATGGGAAACAACAGCATATCATCCAGCTAATGATAAATTATTATTACACTTTTTTTTGTTTTGTTTTGTTTTTTTGTTTGAGATGGAGTCTCATTCTGTCGCCCAGGTTGGAGTGCAGTGGCACGATCTTGACTCACTGCAAGCTCTGCCTCCGGGGTTCACACCATCCTCCTGCCTCAGCCTCCCGAGTAGCTGGGACTACAGGTGCCCACCATCACGCCCGGCAAATTTTTTTGTATTTTCAGTAGAGATGGGGTTTCACCGTGTTAGCCAGGATGGTCTCGATCTCCTGACCTTGTGATCCGCCCACCTTGGCCTCCCAAAGTGCTGGGATTACAGGCGTGAGCTACCGCGTCCGGCGCATTATTATACTTTCTAACTTAAGTAAGTGTGCTAATTATTAGTCTAATACCTAATACTCCACAAAAGTTAACTGGATAAATCTTTCATATAAAGTATTTTGTTGCATCCACTGCAGTGTCTAACATTTTTTTAAAAAATTAACTATTTTGCATCATTATCTTATTTCCTTTTCAAAAAATTCTTGTGTATTTAAGCTACAAAAGTTTCATGGGAGAGCTACAAATTAGTTAACAGAGAGGTTAAATGTCCCGACATTAACTATTTTCTGGAAAACTTTCATAGAAGGTTTACCTTTCCTGGTCCCAGTCTTGGCCCTGGCATGGGGGGTGGTGGAGGGAGAAAAGAGTTCCATGGAGCAGATTTGGGCTTGATGTTATCTGATTTATTTCCAGGAGACCTGGAGTTCTCACTTTCATCTGTTGAAACTTGGCTTTCATTTTCATTCTTTAAAAAGAAAAAATATGCAGGTTTTTGTTATAAGGGTGTGATTAAGAAAAAATTAATGCCTCGGTGGATCAAACTGACAACTGTGTATACTGTTTAACAGTTTCTCATCTAGTCTCTGCTTCCAGAAATTGAATTTTTTTTTTTTTGTATCCTTACCTCTTGAGCATTCTGTTCTATATTATTAGCTACTTCACAGATTGGGGAAAGTAGATCGGACAGATTTTGCTCCTCTCTATTTCCATATCCAGTGTAAACCACAACACAGGTTTCTCTCTTAAAATCAATTGAAGCAATGGTAGCTGGGTAAATGCAACCGTCTTCTGACCAAATGGCAGAACATTTGTCCCCAACTTTCCACTACAAAAGAAATCAAAGATATATACATGCACACATTTCTTTTGAAGAGGGCAAACTATCATCTCGTTTTGATCAGTGGGGAGGTGAAGGATAGAGGGTAGAGATTTGGAAGGCAAAATGATGTAATGAGAAAGGCTTGGGGTCTAAATACATAAATCTGAATTCCAACTCTCTTACATTTATAATCATGGACAAGTTTCTGAATCTCTTTGAGTCTTAGTTTCCCCATCTTATTAGATGGCTATAATATAAACTACCTCCCATATTTGTTGTGAATAGCGGGAGGGAGATAAAATGCGTATGGTGCCCAGCACTCTGGACTGGCCTAGAGCAAGTGCTCATCAACTGTTAGCTCTCTTCCCCCTTGGTAATGATGAAACTAAAGTTGGCTCAAAAGACACCAAAATATTCAGCTTTCAGGACTACTGCTTTTAACTAGCAGAAATAATCTACCTAGACTTCTGGGTTCCTTGGAATTAACAGTTTTAGAGTTTTTAAAGAAAAAGGGGAAAAAAAAATCTATCTCTCAGCTTAAGATGTAAAACACTGCCAATTCAGCTTACGGCTCTTGGGTACTCCTTCCAAACGGCACCTTCTCCCTGCCTTCCATTCACAAATGGAACACATGTCCTGATTTTAGCATTTATCATTCCCATCTAATTCTTTATACTTTCATGACTAATATGCATGTTCCTAAATAACAGAAAATTTAATAGTTGTTTTTGAAGTTGTATAAGTATATGTCAATAGAAACACTGTACTAATCACTTAAGTTAAAGACATTTTACACTATTAAATAAGGACTAATGAGACATCCTTTGAAGTTAAATCTCAACATTTTAAAATAACCTGTTGTAAGGAAGCTGCAGTATTCTTCTTTTGGCTTTTATTCTTCTTAGCAGGTTTTCTTTTAGGTGTGGTTTTTGGTTTACCCGAAGTTTCACAAATGTCACCATTCTTTAGAGCATGCTACGAAAATAGGAATAAAAATGTACATGTTACAGGGTGGTGCACAGAATAAAAGTCACGACATAACCCAGTTACTACTATAAGCTAGTCTCAAGGCTCCGTCACCTCAGAAAGCACCTATTTTCTCTTTTGACCACCCCCTGCACTATAAAAACTGCTCTTAAAGGCATCATACACCTGACATCAGCTCTAAAGACCCTTTTAATCAAATCTCCTTGCTCTCAACCTCTCTGTAACATTAGACCCTGTTAATTATCTTTCTTCCTGATATTCATGGCCCTTTGGATGTCATAGCAATGTAGGGCCCCAACGGTTTCATTACTTCTGATCAAGCCTTAGATTTAGGCATTCCCAATAAGAGCTGGCCATCCTTCTTTACTTGCTTACGGCCATTATTTTATTTATTTTATTTTTTTACACAGAGTCTCACTCTGTCACCGGGCTGGAGTGCAGTCACACTGATCTCAGCTCACTGCAACCTCCACCTCCCAGGTTCAAGCGATTCTCCTGTCTCAGCCTCCCGAGTAGCTGGGATTACAGGCGTGCACCACTGTGCACAGCTAATTTTTGTATTTTTAATAAAGACGGGGTTTCACCATGTGGGCCAGGCTGGTCTTGAACTCCTGACCTCGTGATTTGCTCGCCTCAGCCTCCCAAAGTACTGGGATTACAGGCGTGAGCCACCGCGCCCGGCCAAGGCCATCTATTCTTATTACTTTAGTTGCAACTGTCTGCAAACACACTTCTGAAGCTATTAATCCAGCTGTGACTTTTCTCAATCTAACATTTCCAATGATCAATTTCACATCTTAATTCATACCTCAAACTCAACCTCAACTTAATTCATATTCAACCTCAACTTAATTCAAATTCAATCTCAACTTAATTCATACTCAAACTCACTACTAAAACTATCGTTTTCCCAAATCAGTTCTTTTCCTCCTTTACTCAGATTACTTCTCCCTGCAATATCACCAACCCATCCCACATCGAGCCCCATTTCAATCTCTATTTTATAGAATTCTCTTGGTAATTCTTTAGTCGACTTCTAGTTTCAGTGTATACTGGAAAGCACATTTAAAAATCTAGGCCGGGTGCAGTGGTTCATGCTTGTAATCCCAGCACTTTGGAAGGTCAAGGCGGAGGGATCTTTTGAGCTCAGGAGTTCCAGGCCAGCGTGGGCAACAGGGTGAGACTGCATCTCTACAAAGAATACAAAAATGAGCTGGGTGTGGTGGCACACACCTGTGGTCCCAACTACTCAGGAAGCTGAGGTAGGAGGATTGTTTGAGCTCATGAGTTGAAGGCTCCAATGAGGCATGATCACGCCACTACACTCCAGCCTGGGTGACAGGGCAAGACCCCATCTCAAAAAAAAAAAAAAATCTAGAAATCAGTTACAAAGGTGACATAGAGGTCTGATCTTTAGCTCATGTTACAAGAGTAACTATGAGAAAGACATGAAATCTGTATGCTTGGTGCTCTTTATACACTGTATGAGTATATGCTCTGTTTGCTCAAGGTAGTCTGGACTATTGTTTGCTCAAGGTAGTCTGGACTATTGATGACCCATATTTAGTGCTCAGTAAGACTAAACATCTCAGAGAATGGAGAAGGTGATGATGTTGGCCAACTGTGTAAGTGTCCTGTTTGAGACACAGAACCATACTACATTTCCTAAAAGAACTGTATATTCCTACCCAATAGGAACACTTGAATTGATACCCAACTTACAGGATTTGGGATGATTAGAGTAATTTAATATATGAAACGCACACAGAGCACTGTCAGCATGCTACAAATATTAATTGCTGTACTAATGCTATTTATCTTCATCATTATTTTACTACATGCTTGTTAAATGTTTAAAATTATAATTCAGATTGTCTTTTTCTTATTAATCTCAATTAGAGGACTTCCATAGTTTGATACAATGTAAAAATACTAAAAGGAATACATTGTTTGTTCGTTTTCTGAGATGGAGTCTCACTCTATCGCCCAGGCTGGAGTGCAGTGGTGCAATCATTGCAACCTCTGCCCCCCAGGTTCAAGCAATTCTCCTGCCTCAGTGTCCCAAGCAGCTGGGATTACAGGCACGTGCCACCATGCTTGGCTAATTTTTGTATTTTTAGTAAAGACGGGGTTTCACCATGTTGGCCAGGCTGGTCTCAAACTCCTGACCTCAGGTGATCCACCCGCCTCAGCCTCTCAAAGTGCTGGGATTACAGGAGTGAGCCACCATACCCAGCCAGGAATAAATGTTTTAAATTTTATTTAAATTGCCTCCACAAAGGATGACATATATAGGCTATCAACTTCTAAAGGAGGATATCACCTGATTTAACTAACTCATACTACCATCTAATCTTCAAAATGAAAACTGAATAACATGTACTTTAACACTTTATCGTATGTTATCAATTCCTTTCCAAATGAATAACGAGAAAATAAGAAAACGACTAAGCAAGCATTTCATACCTTAAATGAAGCCACAGCTTTATCATATGCTTTTATCAGTGCTGTATCATCCCAAATGTCAGAATCATCGCTCTGGAAAGGGTAAGAAATAAAAACAACTCATGTTCAGATAGGTTTAATCAGAAAATGTATGTTAGTACCAAGAGTCATCTTAATCCACACATAACAAAATTACACTGAAAATGAGTATTTAAAATCCTAAATAAAGCCACAGGAAACTTACCTGGTTAGAGGTTATGTGACTTTACTCCAAAAGCTAGACATAGGTAAATGTTCTAAGAATGAATGCCATCAAGTGAATGCCCCTACAATTTAATTCCTATCCACATACCATGAGTAGATTTGTTCAAGGCCAGCTATATTTATTTCAATTAAGATCAGATAAAACTTGACTTCATCTAGACTACGGGAATGCTGTTCTGACCTCAGAACCTATGATCCAAAGAATATTTTTTCTTTTGAAATTATAATGTTTCCAGATTATAAGGATACAAATTGTTAATAGTGACTAACCAATTTTCATTTTATTATTATTATTATTTTTTTACTTCCATTTCCCTTTCCTGCTTTCCTGGTACCAATTTTCTTTCCTTCCTTTTCTTTTCCTTTCTTTCGTTTCTTTCTTCTCTCCCTCCCTCCTTCCTTTCTTCCTTCCTTCACTTCTCTTTCTCTCTTCTTTTTTTCTCCCCTCAAATTCCTGTGTTCAAACGACCCTCCCACCTCAGCCCACTGAGTAGTTGGGAATATAGGTGCATGCCACCATGCCTGGCTAGTTTTTAAAATTTTTTGTAGGGACGGGGTCTCGCCATCTTAGCCAAGCTGGTCTTGAACTCCTAGGCTCAAGTGATCCTCCAGCCTCGCTCGGCCTCCCAAGTGTGGGAATTACAGGCATGAGCCACTGCACCTGGAAATATTTTTGTCCAGACATGGTGGCTCATGCCTGTAATCCCAGCTACTTGGGAAGCTGAGGCAGGAGAATTACATGAGCCCAGTTGTTGGAGGCTGCAGTAAGCTATGATCATCCCATTGCCCTCTAGCCTGGGTGACAGAGGAAGACCCTGTCTAACAACAACAACAACAATAACAAAATAATAATAATAATAAATAATTTTTTAGCACTATCTGCTAGCACTGTGCAAGTCACTGAGAGATATATAGAAACATGGTACTCTCCAGTTATTATCTAACTAGGGATTTAAGACTATCACACAAGACAAAACAAAAAACAATATAAAACAAATCTTAACAAACATCAAAATGTGAAATACAAACAGTATTTTAATTAAAAAGGAAAGAAATTAATGTCTACTGCAAGATCATATGGAGGAAACCGGCCTAAGAAATAAAAACCACTCACGCCTGTAATCCCAGCACTTTGGGTGGCCGAGGTGGGTGGATCACGAGGTCAGGAGTTCGAGACCAGCCTGGCCAACATGGTGAAACCCTGTCTCTACTAAAAATACAAAAATTAGCCGGACATAGTAGCACATGCCTGTAATCCCAGCTACTTGGGAGGCTGAGGCAGGAGAATCACTTGAACCTGGGAGGCAGAGGTGGCAGTGAGCCAAGATCGCGCCACTGCACTACAGCCTGAGAGACATAGCGAGACTCTGTCTCAAAAAACAAACAAAACAAAACAAAACAAAATAAAACAAAACAAAACAACAGGATTTAGGCCGGGCATGGTGGCTTGTAATCCCAGCATTTTGGGAGGCCAAGGCAGGTGAATTGCTTGAGTCCAGGACTTCCAGACCAGCCTAGGCAACAGGGTAAGAACCTTGTGTCTACTAAAAATACAAAAATTCTGGCCGGGCGTGGTGGCTCATGCCTGTAATTCCAGCACTTTGGGAGGCAGAAGCAGGCAGATCACGAGGTCAGGAGTTCGAGACCAGCATGGCCAACAAGGTGAAACCCCATCTCTACTAAAACTACAAAACTTAGCTGGCGTGGTGGCAGTCACCTGTAATCCCAGCTGCTTGGGAGGCTGAGGCAGGAGAATCACTTGAACCCGGGCGGCAGAGATTGCAGTGAGCTGAGATTGTGCCACTGCACTCCAGCCTGGGTGACACAGTGAGACTCTGTCTCAAAAACAAACAAACAAAAAAACCAAATTTAGCTGGGCATGGTGGCACATGCCTATAGTCCCAGCTACCTGCAGGGGCTGAGGCGAGAGGATCACCTGGGCCCAGGAAGTTGAGGATGCAGTGAGTGGAGATGGCGCCGCTGCACTCCAGCCTGGGTAACAAATTGAGACCTTGTCTGGGAAAAAAAAACAAAAAAAAACAAAAAAAACCCCCCAAAAAAAAAAAAAACCCAACAGGATGTGCATAGGTAGACAAAATAGAACGCATTCCAAGTAAGAGCATGAACAACAACAAAAAAGGCATGGAAGCAAAAATAACACTAACTATAAGAATTTATTTATGTAAGGTAACTAAGTAGTCAAATTTATAGAATTAGAAAGAATGGGCCAGGCGCAGTGGCTCACGCCTGTAATCCCAGCACTTTGGGAGGCCGAGGTGGGCAGATCACCTGAGGTCAGGAGTTCGAGACCAGCCTCAACATGGAGAAACCCCTTCTCTACTAAAAATACAAAATTAGCCGGGCGTGGTGGTGCATGACTGTAATTCCAGCTACTCGGGAGGCTGAGGTAGAATTGCTTGAACCTGGGAGGCGGAGGTTGTGGTGAGTCGAGATTGCACCATTGCACTCCAGCCTGGGCAACAAGAGTAAAACTCCATCTCAAAAAAAAAAAAAAAAAAAAAAAGAATGATGATTACCAAGGGCTAAGTGTAAGGAGAAATGGGAATTTGCTAATGGGTAGAGTTTCAGGTTGCAAGACGAAAAACTTCCGAAGATCTATTGCGCAACAACATGAACATACTTAATATTACTGAACTATATACTTAAAAATGGTTAAAATGACAAATTTTTTTACTTCAATAAAAAATAAAACACACTGTATGAGGGATTAGTGAGACAAGTCCAAATAGAATCCAATTTATACTATAGGGTAGAGTTGGATTTGGTATACTAGAGAGTATTTTGGATTTGGTATAGTATTAGTCAATGAATTCCAAAAAAGTTTGTTATAAAATTCACTGAGTTGTAATATTACTTTTTGTCATTTTCCTGTTTTTTTTTTGTTTTGTTTTGTTTTCTCTTGAGACAAGAGTCTCGCTATGCCACCCAGGCTGGAGTGCAGTGGCATGATCTCGGCTCACTGCAACCTCTGCCGCCCAGGTTCAAGTGATTCTCCTGCCTCAGTCTCTCAAATAGCTGGGATTATAGGCGCCCACCATCAAGCTGGGCTAATTTTTGTATTTTTAGTAGACATGGGCTTTCATCATCTTGGCAAAACTGGTCTCGAACTCCTGACCTCAAGTGATCCTCCCACCTCAGCCTCCCAAAGTGCTGGGATTACAGGCATGAGCCACCGCACCCAGGCTTGTCATTTTCCTGTTAATCTCCGTTATATAGAGACAAATGTATTCCAATATAAAATGTCAATCTTGCTGTATGATAAAAAGTACTTAATAATCCCAGCCTGGGCAACATGGCAAAACCCCATCTCTACAAAAAGTACAAAAATTAGCTGGGCGTGGTGGTTCACATCTGTAGTCCCAGCTACCCAGAAGGCTAAGGTGGGAGGGCCGCTTGAACCAGGGAAGAGGAGATTGCAGTGAGTGGAGATCAGAGATCGTGCCACTGCACTCCAGCCAGGGTGACAGTGAGACCCTGTCTCAAAAAAAAAAAGTACTTAAGATCATTAAGTCACTTTGCAGATAAGAAAAGTAATCACAAAGAGGTTAACTGACTTAAGGTTACATTCGCACTTGGAAGGGAAGATATTCCTTGGAGATTTGGTAAAAGGAATAAAAACAGGCTGGGTCCAGTGGCTCACACCTATAATCTCTGTCTCGAAAGAAAAAAAGGGGGGTAGGGGGGAGGCTGGGCACGGCAGCTCATTCCTGTAATCCCAGCACTTTGGGATGCAGAGGTGGGTGGGGTGGGTGGATCACTTGACATCAGGAGTTTGAGACCAGCCTGCCAATGTGGCAAAACCCCGTCTCTATTAAAAATACAAAACTTAGCCGGGCATGGTGGTGCACACCTGTAGTCCCAGATACTTGGGAGGCTGAGGCAGGAGAATTGCTGGAACCCGGGAGGCAGAGGTTGCAATGAGCCAAGATCACTGCACTCCAGCCTGAGTGACAGAGTGAGACTCCATCTCAAAAAAAAAGGAAGCAAACAGTAGAAAATGAAGGGTGGTCCTGAAGAAATAAAGAAATCACAAAATCAAGGCCAGTGATATCAATAGAAGAGTGCAGTCTTAAAGCAAGATACACAGACAGATGGCAGCTCAAACTCCTCATATCTCAACTGTTATTGCCAGACCAGGAAACAAGTAATTTCAAAACGAACAGAAAACAAAGCGACAGAAGAAAAGGTAATACTGATTACAAGGTACCCAAGGACAAATACATCTGACTGAAAATCTAAGGAGCACCAAAGCAAAGCCATGAAAAAGAACCAAAGGAACAAAAATAAATAAGAAGCAAAATGGTTGATACATTGGCAAACAGTATTTATTTAACGTATGTATAAATGGGGTCCCTGAAGAATAAAAACAAAACAAAACAAACAATCTTCCTGGTGGTCTAGTGATTAGGAATTTAAAAAAAAGAAAAATTCCTAGGGATGGGAGGAAGAACCCCCTCCCATCCTCAGAGAGCCTCTAAGCAAAAAGACTAAGTTACAAAATAAAGAAAATCAGTTATCATTAGACTTTCTCATAGAAATTTATGGGGAAAAAGTATGAGCCAAGAATTTTATATGCAGCCTAGCTGTCCTTGAAGTAGCAAGACTAAGAAAAGTCTAAAATGTAGAAGAATACCGTACTCACTAGCCTTTCCAGGGTAATCTATTGAAAATACGCTTCATCCAACCAAGATATGACCAGGGAAACTTGGGTTTTAAAAATAACAGAACTGGCCAGGCATGGTGGTTCACGCCTGTAATCCCAACACTTTGGGAGGCCGAGGTGGGTGGATCACCTGAGGTCAGGAGTTCAAGACCAGCCTGATCAACATGGTGAAACCCCGTCTCTACTAAAAATACAAAATTAGCCGGGCGTGGTGGCGCATGCCTGTAATCCCAGCTACTCGGGAGGCTGAGGCAGAAGAATTGCTTGAACCTGGGAGGTGGAGGTTGTGGTGAGCCAAGATCGCGCCACTGCACTCCAGCCTGGGCAACAAGAGCGAAACTCTTGTCTCAAAAAAAAAAAACGAAAAACATAAAACAGAATTGTTAGCATCAAATATATTTAATTGTGGATCTAAGAGGAAAGTAGTGTATTAAATTGAAAAGCTGATTCTAAAATTTATATGGAACTACTAAGGACAAAAATAAACCAAAGCTGGACAATTTACATTATCTAACTTTAAGACTGTAAACCAGAAGTAGCTAAGACAGGTTTCAATCAATTTAGAAAGTTTATTTTGCCAAAGTTAAAGACGCTCCTATGACACAGCCACAGGAGGTCCTGATGACATGTCCCCAAGGTGGTGGGGTACAGCTTTGTTTTATACATTTTAGGGAGACATGAGGCATCAATCAATATATGTAAGATGTACATGAGTTCTGTCAGGAAAGGCAGGACAACTCAAAGTGGGGGTAGGGAGGTTTCTAGGTCATAGGAAGATTTAAAGATTTTCTAATTGGCAACTAGTTGAAAGAGTTATTATCAACAGAAAGGAATGTTTGGGTTACCATAAGGGGTTGTGGAGACCAAGGTTTTATCATGCAGATGAAGCTCCCAGGTAGCAGGCTTCAGAGAGGGTAGGTTGTAAATGTTTCTTTTCAGACTTTAAGAGTCTGTTCTATCAGTAATTCCAAAAGGTAGTAGGGTGTGATGAGACATGTCCAACTCCCCCTTCCCATCATGGCTTGAACTAGTTTTTCAGGTTAATTTTGGAATGCCCTTGGCTGAGAGGATGGGTCCATTCAGTTGGTTGTGCAGGGGCGGGGGGGGCCTATAATTTTATTTTTGGTTTACAAGACATACCCTGAAGCAATAGTAATTAAAAGTGTAGTACTGACATCAATATACACTAATAGACAATGTAACAGAATTGAGAGTCAGAAATAGCCCTGTGATATATGTGACTGATTTTAACTAAAGTTACAAATGTGGTTTAATAGAGAAAGCATAGTAGTTTCAAGAAATGGTGGTAAAACTATTGGAAATCCTTATGCAAAAAC
The DNA here is from genome assembly GCF_000001405.40 of Homo sapiens. Classification (NCBI taxonomy): domain Eukaryota; kingdom Metazoa; phylum Chordata; class Mammalia; order Primates; family Hominidae; genus Homo; species Homo sapiens. The sequence goes on from NW_025791777.1 coordinate 1,549,428, forward strand.
AAACCAAATTTCCACCTACACTGAGCCACATATAAGAATTAATACAAAATGGATTACAGACCTAAGTGTAAAACTAAAACTCTAAACTGTGTAAAAAAAAAAAAGAGAGAAAAATCTGTGATCATGGATTGCCTATAACAAAAGAACAAACTGAAATGGCCTTGTTGCCTGGGGTGGCACCCGAGGTTCTTGGTCTCACGCTGAGGAAATCAAGGACGCTGACACACCAAGGGTGTGAGGCTAGAGCAGAAGTTTAATAGGCAAAAGAAAGAGACTAGCTCTCTCCTGCAGAGAGAGGTCCTGAAAAGAGTTCCCATTCCACAGTGAAATGCAAGCATTTTTATAAATGAGCTAATGGGAAGGGGGTAGCTTATCTACACATAGGGAGCAAAAAACCAGTTAGGACCAGGTGTTGCCATCTGCACAGAGCGTGAATCTCTGGCATCCCCCACCCCAACCTTTTATTATGCAGGCAGGTCCTTGGCCTGAGCTACTCCACATTGCTTATCTCTTTCCTATTGTGCATGTGCTAAATAAGGGGAGGTGGAGCCACCATGGTGGACATGCCTGGCCCCAGGTACCCCTTTCTCTCCGTGCAGCTGCAGGCAACCCCAACAACTCACAACATGCAAGCTTCCAGCTTCCTTATCTGAGTATGTACTAAGGTCCACTGTGTTTACTTCACATACTGTGTTTACTTCACATACCCACCTTACGTATGTGAAGCTTGCTGATTACCCAGGAAGCTCCCCCTCTGTGCCAGAGCTGCTTCCTTATACATGTTTACAGCCCGATCTTCCAGGCTGCTCCTTGTTAGAAGAGAAGTGATTTCTTGGGCTGCTTTTTGTTAGAAGGGAAGTTCTACCGAGGACTCTGTCTAACTATCGGCTTACCTAGTCTTTTTTTACCTCCTCTCTCAAAACCATCAAAGAAAAAACTGAAAAATTAGATTTCAGCAAAATTAAGATTTTCTGTTCTTAAAAAGACGTTGTTAACAAAATGAAAAACCAAAGTGTAAACCGGGAGAAAATACATGCAAGTTACCTATCTGATAAAGATATTGTACCCAGCAAACATGAAGAACTCTCAAACCTCAACAACAAAAAAATTCAATTAAAAGATGGGTAAGTTGGCCGGGTGCAGTGGCTCATACTTGCAATCCCAATCTTTGGGAGGCTGAGGCAGGAAGATTGCTTGAGCCCAGGAGTTCACGACAAGCCCAGGCAACATAATGAGACCTTGTTTCTACAAAATTTTAAAAAATTAGCCAGGCATTGTGGCGTGTGCTCGTAATTTCAGCTACTCAGAAGGCTGAGACAAGAAGACTGAGCGCAGGAGGTGGAGGCTGCAGTAGGCTGTGTGATTGCACCACTGCACAACAGCCTGGGTGACAGAGTGAGACACTGTCTCCAAAAAAAAAAAACAAACAAAAAAAAAACCCAAATGATTTGAATAGACACTTCACCAAAAAAGATATACGGATGGCAAATACACTCATGAAATGATCAACAGCAGCACTGGTCATTAGGAAATGCTAATTAAAATCACAAGAAGCCACTATATCTATTATAATGCCTAAAATTAAAAAGACTGACCATACCAGGTGTTTGCAGGGACACTGAGCAAATGGAACTTTCATACATTGCTGGTCAAAATGCAAAATGGGGGAGCTGTTCTGAACCTATTTAGTTGTGGGGGCTGTCCAACTTTTGAATTTTTCTTTGCTCAATTAATCTCTGTTATATTAAAAAGTAACATGGTACAACCACCACTTTGAGGAAGAGTTTGACAGCTCCTTAAAGACTTAAAATACATCTACCCTGAGACCTAAGTATTCACTCAAGAAAAATGAAAGCGTATGTCTATACAAAGTCTTCTTTAAAATTTTTTATAGAAAATTTTTAATTTTTGATTTTAAAATAAAAATAGAGGTTTCACCATGTTTCCCAGGCTGGTCTCAAACTCCTGGGCTCAAGCGATCTGCCAGCCTTGGCTATATGAAGTCTTATACACTAATATTCATAGTGGCTCTACTTGTTAACAGTCCCAAACTGGAAAAAGCCCAAATGTTCACAAGCAAGCGAATGAATACAGTATAGTATATACATGCAATGGGATACTACTCAGCAATAAAATGGATGAAAATCAAAATAGCTATGATAAATAAAAGAAACGTGACAAAAAAGGTACTCTATCATTCCACGTTTATAAAAATTCTTAAAAATGCAGGCTAATCTATGGTGACAGAAAGTAGATCAGTGGTTGTCTGGGGACAGGACAAGGAGGGATGAAAAGGATCACAAAACAGCAATCCAACTGAGGCCACCATGCTATAAGGAAATCCAAACCAGCCCACACATTGAAACCACATAAAGAAATCTTCATGAGACTACATGAAAAAAAGAGATAGCCTGCCAATCCCTAGCTGCTCAGTCCCCAGCTACTGTAGCTCTAGCAACTATGTAGGTGCAACCACGAGACAGCCGCACGAAAACTGCCCAGCACGGCTCTCACAAATTCCTAACCCACAGAAACAATGAGAGATAATAAAATGTTCTTTGTTGTTTCAAGCCACTAAGTTTTGGCAGATTCGTTACACAGCAACGGCAGCCAGAACGGACCACCAGGACTGCCTTTATATCTGATTCTCAGTCATTTCCAGTAGCTCAGATTTCTCAAATTATTCCCAACACCCTGCCATCTTCTACCTTCTCCTACCACTTCCTGAAACTTCCACTGTGCTCCCTTGAGTAATTCATAAAATCCACTCTTTAACCTCTGAATCATCCCTTCATTTCTTGCTCTAAGTAAAATCTAGCTCCCTGAGGATGCCTTTTCCTTTCGCAGCCATCTCAAATGATAGATGTTTCCTCTTTTCTCCTCCACACACTTCATATCACTGTACCTACTGGAGATGTGGGGAAGAAATCTTCCCTGCTCTGGCTGGCGCGGTGGCTCACGCCTGTAATCCCAAGCGCTTTGGGAGGCCGGGGTGGGCGGATCACAAAGTCAGGAGATTGAGACCATCCTGGCTAACACGGTGAAACCCCGTCTCTACTAAAAATACAAAAAAACAATTAGCTGGGCGTGGTGGCGGGCGCCTGTAGTCCCAGCTACTCGGGAGGCTGAAGGAGGAGAATGGCGTGAACCCGGGAGGCGGAGCTTGCAGTGAGCGGAGATCTCGCCACTGCACTCCAGCCTGGGCGACTGAGCCAGACTCCGACTCAAAAAAAAAAAAAAAAAGAAAAAAGAAATCTTCCCTGCTCCTTACTTGCACTTTCAGATTATTCTCCTCCATTCCCCTCTCAAAATTCCCAGCCTTGAAAATCCTGACAAAAAGTAGCCAGGCATGGTGGTCAGCACCTGTAGTTCCAGCTACTTGAGAGGCTGAAGTGGGAGAATCCCTTGAGCTTGGGAGGAGGTTGTAGTGAGCCGTGATCGCGCCACTGCACTCCCACCTGGGCAACAAAAAGAGGCCCTGTCTCGGGGGGGGGAAAAAAGAAAGAAGGAAAATCTTGTCACCAGACTCACAGTCTATTATCGTTTCCTATTGCAGTCACCTACAGCCTACCGAGTCACTCTTCCTCATTCCTTAATGTTTACATCGCAGTTCTCTCTCCAACACTACTCCTGTCATAATTTTTGGTGATTTAAATATCCATGTAGATGATCCCTTCAATTACCCTATATTTGCAGGTCTCTAAACTCCTCTCCACCACAATCTTGTACATCCTCTGATGTGGTGCAGCTCTGTGTTCCTACCCAAATCTCATGCTGAATTGTGATCCCCAGTGTTGGAGGTGGGCATGGTAGGAGGCGACTGGATCATGGGGGTGATTTCTAATGATTTAGCACCATCCCCAAGTGCTGTTTCCTGATAAGCGTTCTCACAAGATCTGGTTGTTTTAAAGTATGTAGCACTTCCCCCTTCTCTCTCTCTCCTGCTGACCATGTGAAGACTGTGCTTGTTTCCCCTTCACCTTCCACCATGACTGTAAGTTTCCTTAGGCCTCCACAAGAGAAGCCTGTACAGGCAGCAGAACTGTGAGCTGATTAAACCTCTTATCTTTATAAATACCTGGTCTCAGGTATGTCTTTGTAGCAGTGTAAGAATGAACTGATACATCCCCAAATCTCAGCTACTCACTCACTTCAACTGTATTTATTTATTATAACCAATAACCACAACCTCTCCATAAATGCAGTTTCAAGAATCCCACTCTCTTAACCATCACCTTCTAGGCTCTGCAACTTACTCCTACTAGTGATTTGATGGGGACAATCATTCCACTTCATTAGGACTGGCAGTACATTGATCCTCCCACTTTTTTTTTTTTTTTTTTTTGAGGCAGAGTCTCATTTTGTCGCCCAGGATGGAGTACAGTGGCACGATCTCGGGTCACTGCAAACTCCACATCCCGGGTTCAAGTGATTTTCCTGCCTCAGCCTCCCTAGTAGCTGAGACTACAGGCACCTGCCACCATGCCCAGCTAATTTTTTTTTTCCAAGAGGAGTCCTGCTCTGTCGCCCAGGCTGGAGTGCAGTGGCGCAATCTCGGCTCACTGCAAACCTCGCCTCCCGTGTTCAACTGATTCTCCTGCCTCAGCCTCCCAAGTAGCTGGGATTATAGGCACGCGCCACCACGCCCGGCTAATTTTTGTATTCTTTTTTTTTTTTTTTTTTTAAAGACAAAGTTTTGCTCTTGTTGCCCAGGCTGGAGTGCAATGGAGTGATCTCAGCTGTCTGCAACCTCTGCCTCCCAGGTTCAAGCAATTTTTCTGCCTCAGCCTCCCGAGTAGCTGGGATTATAGACACGTGACACCATGCCCGGCTAATTTTTGTATTTTTAGTAGAGACAAGGTTTCACCATATTGGCCAGGCTGGTCTCGAACTCCTGACCTTGTGATCTGCCCAACTCGGCCTCCCAAAGTGCTGGGATTACAGGTGTCAGCCACAGCGCCCGGCCGATCCTCCCACTTTTTAAACTGTCTCTCAGGGTCTTAAAATCCTCACTTCCTTTCTTTTTTTTTTTTTTTGAGGTGAAGTCTCACTATATCGTCCAGGCTGGAGTACAGTGGCGTGATCTCGGCTCACTGCAACCTCCACCTCCTGGGTCCAAGGGATACTCCTGCCACAGCCTCTTGAGTAGCTGGGATTACAGGCACCTGCCACCATTCCCGGCTAATTTTTCTGTATTTTTATTAGAGATGGGGTTTCGCCATATCGGCCAGGTTGGTCTCAAACTCCTGACCTCAGGTAATCCACCCACCTCAGTCTCCCAAAGTGCTGGGATTACAGGCGTGAGCCACCGCGCCCGGCCTCTCACTTCCTTTCTTAGCCAGCTTAAATTCCATGGTCAATCATTAAGAGAACTCCTTTGTACTTCTCCCCCTCACTTCTTCATATCCACGTGGTAAAATCACAACTGCATTAATTTCAACTCTCCATTTACTCTGTGGGTGCCCTCATACACAATCTTGCTGTCTGGTCTCCTTCAACTCATGACCACGAATCTCAAGTAGGCTCTTTATGTTGCCTAGCAATATTTCCACTAAACTTCCCTAGTCCAACCCTTGCCCACTCTTCTAAAGAACTATCTACTTCCCATCTTCTCTTTCCTCTCCCATCCCAGCTTCTAGCTGATAACCTTGCTTCTTTCACTAAGAGAACAGTAAGAATCAAGAGAACTTTCAAAATCTCCTGCCATCCTATCTGCCCATTCACGTATCATAGATGTGTTAACTATATAGCTGTCACCAAAAGAACCGCTAATGTTTCCAACAAAGGCCAAATCCATCCCTTCTTACCTACTCTAGGACATTGCTCTAGCCATTGTCTTCTTTCCGACATCAACTTTCCCATTCTCATCTTTCCTATCAACCCACAAACATGCTGAAACATGTTGCTCCTATCTTAGTGCAGTGGCTCACACTAGTAATCCCAGTACTTTGGGAGGCAGAGGTGGGAGGATAGCTTGAGGCCAGGAGTCCAAGGCTGTAGTGATTCATGATTGCGCCACTGGCACCCCAGCAGCCTGGGCAACAGAGCAAGACCCCCCTCTTTTAAAACCACACACACATAATTAAAATTCCTCTTAACTCACTTCCCCCTCCATTTATTGCCCAATTTCTCTACCCTCCATTTATAATAAAATTTCGTGGTGGCTCACTCCTTTAGGCCCAGCGACTCCAAAGGAGGGTCGCTTGAGGCCAAGAGATCAACGCTGCCATGGGCTAGGATCATGCCACTGTACTCCAGCCTGGGCCACAGAGAGCGAACTTGTCTCTAAAAAAATTTTTTTTAAATAGAATTCCTTGAAATATGCCTACCGATGTTTTTATTATTTATTTATTTATTTATTTATTTATTTGAGACGGAGTCTTGCTCTATCGCCCAGGCTGGAGTGCAGTGGCGCGATCTCGGCTCACTGCAAGCTCCGCCTCCCGGCTTCATGACATTCTCCTGCCTCAGCCTCCCGAGTAGCTGGGACTACAGGCGCCCGTCACCACGCCCGGCTAATTTTTTGTATTTGTAGTAGAGACGGGGTTTCACCGTGTTAGCCAGGATGGTCTCGATCTCCTGACCTTGTGATCCGGCCGCCTCGGCCTCCCAAAGTGCTGGGATTACAGGCTTGAGCCACCGCGCCCGGCCGTTTATTTTGTTTTAAGACAGGGTCTGGCTCTGTCGCCCAGGCTGGAGTGCAGAGGCGCAATCACAGATCACTGCAGCCTCCACCTCCCTGAGCCTTCCAAGGCCTGAACCTTCCAGGTAGCTGAGACCACAGACGCGCACCACAACACCCGTCTAATTTTTGCAGACTCGGAGTCACACTATGTTGCCCAGGCTGGTCAAATGTTGCCTTGGATTTCTCTTCTCCTACTCTCCAACTCACTCCAGCCAAATTCACCCCTACCATGCTATGCCCAAGACTGAACTCCTGAGAAACCTGCTCTACTGGCAATCTTCTCTTTCCCACCTCAGCAAAAGGCAACTTTATCTTTTCAACTATTCAGGATAACCTCCGTTATCGAATCTATCTGAAAAACCTGTTGCCTCCGATTTCAAAATATACCCAGAATCCAAATACTTTCACTCTGTTAATAACATCTTGTTCTGAAGTTCAGATCATCTTAACAGACTCCTAAGTGGTTCCCCTGCTTCACCCTGGCCTAATGCCCCCACCTCCCCCACACCAGCCAGAGAGGAGTGAACAAAATAAGCTACTGCCAAGTCGCGGCAGGGCCTCCACTCAACGCTATCAAGGAGCCCAAACTGCTCGAGGAAGGAGCTTGCGGATGTGGTTCGCAGGGAACGGAGTGGGAAAAGACGTAGAAAAACGCGGACCACAACTCCAGTGAGCGGATCGACTTGATGCTGTCCCGAGGCTGCGGAAGGAGAGTTGGGCCGGAAGAAGGGTGCTGAGAGCGCTAATAGGGAGACTGCACTGGCTGCGACCTCACCTGGCCTGTGCCGCGCCGGAACAGCACGGAATCCTCCTGCTCCGGGACGCCGCCACCACTGCCGCCGCTGCTCATCGCCATAGCAAACCCGCGGGTGCGCAGCGTGGGGCCCCGTCCCTTCTTAAGAGTGACGACTTCCGCCGCCCGGGGCTTCTGGGAGCGGAACAGTACGGTGGCCGGGAGGACCGCTTGTAGTAACTTCTCACGCTTTCTACGAGTGGTTATCGCCCTCCCACATTTGTGGCGTGTATATTTTTCATTTCTCTCAATCCTTTCATTTCACTGTGTTATATTTCCTTTCCTTTTTTTTTTTGTTTGTTTGTTTTGAGACAGAGCCTCGCCCTGTCGCTCAGGCTGGAGTGCAGCGGCGCGATCTCGGCTCACTGCAGCCTCGACTTCTTGGGCTCAAGCGATCCTCCCACCTCAGCCTCCCCAGTAGCTAGGACTATAGGCGTGCGCCACCAAGCTCAGCTATTTTTTGTATTTAGTAGAGACGGGGTTTCGGCATGTTGCTTAGGCCTCGTCTCGAACTCCAGTGTGTGTGTGTGTGTGTGTGTGTGTGTGTGTGTGTGTGTGTGTGTGTAGATATTTATTCCCCCTCCCCCTTGGAAAAGTAAATGTAAGCTCCTACTAGGAATTTAAAACCTGCTTGATCTATATAAAGACAAACAAGGAAAGACAAACATGGGGGCAGGAAGGAAGGCAGATCCTTAAACACTAGAAGATATTTGATCCCCCAACCTTATTTGTTGTTTGTTTTGAGACGGAGTCTCGCTCTGTCGTCAGAGTGCAGTGGCACCATCTCGGCTCATTGCAGCCTCGACCTCCCGAGCTCAAGCGATCCTCCCGCCTCAACCTCCCAAGTAGCTAGGACCACAGGGGCACGCCACCACACCCGGCTAGTTTCTGTATGTTTTGTAGAGGCGGCGTTTGGAGCATATTGTGTAGGCTGGTCTCGAACTCCTGAGCTCAAGATATTCCGCCCGCCTCTGGCATCCCAAAATGCTGGGATTACAGGTGTGAGCCACCTCGCCCAGCCTCCAGTATTCTTTTTTTTTTTTGCGACAGAGTATTGCTCTGTCACCCAGGCTGGAATGCAGTGGCGTGATCTCAGCTCACTGCAACCTCTGCCTCCCAGGTTCAAGCAATTCTGCCTCAGCCCCCCGAGTAGCTGGGATTACAGGCGCCCACCACCACACCCGGCTAATTTTTGTATTTTTAGTAAAGATGGGGTTTCACCATGTTGGCCAGGCTGGTCTTGAACTCCTGACCTCGTAATCCGACCGCCTCGGCCTCCCAAAGTGCTGGGATTACAGGTGTGAGCCACCACACCGGGCCTCCAGTATTCTTTATTAAGCATCTAGGGTTGCTAAATGGCTTATATGTACATAGTATATATATATTTTTAACTCCACGAAAGGAACTTTGAGCTCTTCCCCCAAAATACCCTTGGCTTCTATATAGTATACAAGAAATATCTGTGGAGGAAGGGGAGAATGGGATGATGTTGACCAAGTGTACAAAAATGGTAACTCTGTAGAGGTAATATGTGGAATGTAATCATTTCACAATGTATATCTAAACATCAAATGGTACACCTTAAATATATACAATTTTTAGGGGTCTGGTACGGTGGCTCATGCCTATAATCCCAGCACTTTGGGAGGCCAAGGTGGGTGGATCACTTGAGGTCAGGACTTCAAGACCAGCCTGGCCAACATGGTGAAACCCTGTTTCTCCTAAAAATACAAAAATCAGCCGGGTGTGGTGGTGCAGGCCTGTAATGACAGCTGCTTGGGAGGCTGAGCCAGGAGAATCACTTGAACTCGGGAGGCGGAGGTTGCAGTGAGCCAAGATCACGCCACTGCACTCCAGCCTGAGTGACAGAGTGCGACTCCATCTCAAACAAATAAATATGTACAATTTTTATGTGTCAAAAAAGTTAAATTGTCACAAGATAAAAAAAAAAATTTAAATCTCATGTCAGGAAAGTAATGTGCCAAAGGTACATCTCACAGATAAACATGAAAACCTGCACTCCAGCCTGGGCGACAGAGTGAGGCTGTGTCTCAGAAAAAAAAAAAAAAGTAAAAAAAAAAGTATGTTTTTATAAAGCTTGCTTAGATTTTTCTGAATCATAAAAATTCTCACAATTGCATTTGATGTCAAAATTTAAACAAATTACCTGGACATATTACATGATGGTTAAAAAAATAAATTTAAACAAAATATAGAACCAGGTTTCTTTTTGTTTTTTAATTTTTTTCTTTTTGAGACGGAGTCTCGCTCTGCCACCCAGACTGGAGTGCAGTGGCTCACTGCAACCTCTGCCTCCCGGGTTCAAGTGATTCTCCTGTCTCAGCTTCCCGAGTACCTAGGATTACAGGCGTGTGCCACCACACCCAGCTAATTTTTGTATTTTTAGTAGAGACTGGGTTTTGCCATGTTGGTCAGGTTGGTCTCAAACTCCTGACCTTGTGATCCGCCCGCCTCAGCCTCCCAAAGTGCTGCGATTACAGGCATGAGCCACCGCACCCAGCCATTTCTTTTTGTTTTTATTATTTAGAGATATAATTGATATACTATAGAATTAATCGTTTTAGAGAGTACAATTGAATGGTAGATAGAGCGGAAACCTTAATATATTCACAAGGTTGTGCAACCATCACTACTATCTAACTCCAGAACATTTTAATCACCCACCAAAGAAACTCTGTTTCCTTTAGCAGTGCGCTGCCATGCTCAGCTATTTTTTGGGAGAGAAGGGGTCTCCCCATGTTGTCCACGCTGGTCTCAAACTCGGTTGCTTAAGCAGTCCTCCCACTTGAGCCGCTGTGCCCAGGCCTGAGTTACTATATTTATAAAAGTTATTTCATATGATAGACAAATCATTCAAAACATAATGAGGTAAACTGCCAAAAGAAACCATTTTACCATATTTGAAGGCATTTAATGTAAATGTTGAATTTAATTTCATGTACTGGAATCAGTCTTTTTGCATATGTAATTTTCATACCAAAAATCTCTCTTCAGTTGACTCCTGGAACTCTCTCATGATAAAATAAAAGTTTCAAATAATGTCGGGGTGGTGGCTAACACCTGTAATCCCAGCACTGTGGGAGTCCGAGGCAGGTGGATCACATGAGGTCAGGAGTTTGAGACCAGCCTAGCCAACATGGCAACACTAAAGATATGAAAGTCAGCCAGGCATGGTGGTGCATGCCTGTAATCTCAGCTACTAGGGAGGCTGAGGCACAAAAATCACTTGAAACTGGGAGGTGGAGGTTGCAATGAGCTGAGATCGTGCCACTGCACACCAGCCTGTGAGACAGAGCAAGACTCTGTCTCAAAAAAAAAAAAAAAAAAAAAAAAAAAAAGGGCCAAGTATGGTGGCTCATGCCTGTAATCCTAGCACTTTGGGAGGCTGAGTGGGAGAGGATCATTTGAGCCCAAGTAACATGGTCAGGCCCCATCTCTACAAAAATAAATTAGCTGGGCATGGTGGTATGGGCTTGTGGTACCAGCTACTCAGGAGGCTGAGACAGGAGGAGTACTTGAGCCAAGGAGGTCAAAGGCTGCAGTAAGCCATGTTTTTGCCACCGTGCTCCAGCCTGGGCAACAGAGCAATATGCTGTTTCAAAAACAAACTAAAAAAATGGTAGTACCTACATGTGAAGATTGCATATAATAAAGATTGTAAAGCAGAGAGAAAAACTGGACAGTTCACCAAAAAGAAAATCCAAATGTCCACTAGAGATCTGAGAAGATGCCCAACCTCTAGAGCCAAGGAATTGCAAATTAATAACTAAGATAACATTTCAGGGCCTGGCACGGTGGCTCATGCCAGTAATCCCAGCACTTTGGGAGGCTGAGGCAGGCGGATCACTTGAGGTCAGGATTTGAGATCACCCTGGCCAACATGGTGAAATCCTGTCTCTACTAAAAATACAAAAATTAGCTGAGCATGGTTGCGGCGCCTATAATCCTAGCTACTTTGAAGACTGAGGCAGGAGAATCGCTTGAACCTAGGAAGCGGAGGTTGCAGTGAGCTGAGATCGTGCCAGTGCACTCCAGTCTGAGTGACAGGGTGAGACTTCATCTCAAAAAAAAAACAAAAAAACAAAAAATTTCAGGAATATACCTGCCTTTGGTAAAAACAAAAAGAAATTGTGAACCAGGCGTGGTGACTCATGCCTGTAATCCTAGCACTTTGGGAGGCTGAGGCAGGAGGATCCTTTGAGCCCAGGGGTACAAGACCAGCCTGGGCAACATAGGGAGACCTTGTCTCAAAAAAAAATAAATAAATAAATAAAATAAAAAATAAAAAAATCGTGAATAGTGTTGCGATGAATAAAAAAGAAAAAAAATTAAAAAGAAAGAAAACCCAGAAAAACTAACATACCATTTTCCTCTCAGTTTGGCAAAACTATTAGGAATTAATAACATTTGATGTTAGCAAAGTATGGGGAAATGAACTTTTATCCTCTTATTGAAAATATCTGTTTGTAGCCAGGCATGATGACTTATGCCTGTAATCCCAGCAATTTGGGAGGCCAAGGTGGGAAGATTCCTTGAGGCCAGAAGTTTGAGACCAGCCTGAGTAATAAAGTAAGACCCCATGTCATTAAAAAAAAAAAAAAAAAAAAAAAAAAAAGAAGGAAAGACTGCCGGGCGCAGTGGCTCACGCCTGTAATCCCAGCACTTTCAGAGGCTGAGGTGAGCAGAACACTTGATGTCAGGAGTTCAAGACCAGCCTGGCCAACATGGTGAAACCCCACCCCATCTCTACTAAAAATACAAAAATTAGCTGGGCGTGGTGGCGGGCGCCTGTAATCCCAGCTATTCAGGAGGCTGAGGCTGGAGAATCACTTGACCCTGGAGGCGGAGGTTGCAGTGAGCCGAGATCACACCACTACACTCCAGCTTGGACAACAGAGTGAGACTCCGTCTCAAAAACAACAACAACAAAACCCAAAACATCTGTTTAAAGTTTAAGACATGTATACCTGTGAAAGTTGATTACATAAATTGGGTCATTCTTGAAATACTCAACTAAATCAGAGTTGAAGGGCCAGGGGGAAGAAGCATTCGGGGCACACAGCATCTGCTTCAAGAATTAAATTTTCCACAAGTCCAACTGCTGAACCAGCCTTCTGTATCCCTAAGACCAGTTTTACCTAATAGCTGCTAAAATGAACTGCCATGACTCTAAGACTGGTTTTACCTACCACCATCGCTCACCAATCAGAGCTTGCTAGCTCCCACAAGCTCTAGTGTGAATGAGCTTTCTTCCAAAACAGTATGTAATACTGTTCTTTCTCATAAAACCCGGAACCTTCTCTTTTTTTTTTTTGAGATGGAATTTTGCTCTTGTTGCCCAGGCTGGAGTGCAATGGCGCGATCTCGGCTCACTGCAACCTTCACCTCCCGGGTTCAAGCATTTCTCCTGTGTCAGCCTCCTGAGTAGCTGGGATTCAGGCATGCGCCACTATGCCCAACTAATTTTGTATTTTTAGTAGAGACGGAGTTTCTCCATGTTGGTCAGGCTGGTCTCAAACTCCTGACCTCAGGTGATCTGCCCGCCTCGGCCTCCCAAAGTGCTGGGATTACAGGCATGAGCTATCACACCTGGCCGCAACCTTCCCTTTATTCTCCTGATCATACCAATGATCAGCCCGGTCTGTGTGTATGCCATGAATTGCAGCTCTTGCTTACCAAATAAAATGTTTTTAGAGATTTGTCTCTATATTATATTTGGCTTTGACATAACTATTCCCAAGGAATTCTATCTTTAAAAATCCATTCTTATAGAAATGAAAGCACCAATAAATGGGAATAAGTACGATAATCCACATCGCAGAATTGTTTGTAGTGGCAAAAGTTGCAACATCCTAATTGTCTATGAGTAAGGAAATGATTGAATAAATTACTGTACATCTATACTAAAGTTAAATTTGTAAGTACTGAAGTACAGGCACGGCTATTTTTTTTTTCTTTTTGTGGAAACAGGGTCTCACTCTGTCACCCAGGCTGGAGTGCAGCGGCACCATCTTGGGTCACTGCAACCTCTGCCTCCTGAGTTCAAGTGATCCTCACACCTCAGCCTCCCAAGTAGCTGGGACTACAGGCACGTGCCACCACACCTGGCTAATTTTGGTTTTTGGCTTCTTTCTTAATTGGTATGTTTACTTAAAAATATAGACTAACGGGCTGGGCATGGTGACTTACACCTATAATCCCAGCACTTTGGGAGGCCAAGGCGGGTGGATCATGAGGTCAGGAGATCGAGACCATCCTGGCTAAAACAGTGAAACCCCATCTCTACTAAAAGTACAAAAAATTAGCCGGGTGTGGTGGTGGGCACCTGTAGTCCCAGCTACTCGGGAGGCTGAGGCAGGAGAATGGCGTGAACCTGGGAAGCAGAGCTTGCAGTGAGCCGAGATTGTGCCACTGCACTCCAGCCTGGGCGACAGAGCAAGACTCCATCTCAAAAATAAATAAATAAATAAATAAAATAATAAAATAAAATATAGACTAATGATCCTGTGCTTCAATGTCATTGTGGTTATGTGCTGATGTCCATAAAACATAAGTTATAAGGGACTCTTCACAAATACACTCCAGACAGAAGGGTAAACAGAAATGACTGACAAGACAGTGCCATTTCAGACATACTTCCCTTAATTATTAATACTTGCTAGAAAATGGAGTTTGACATTATTTACAATTATACCAATATTCACAGAGGCCAACTGTCACAGGCATTAAGGGCACACCAGGGCCAGGAGACCTCATTTCAGACTTCCCAAATATTTTTATATTTTAGCTATTAAGATCAGTTACCAGAGCTCAACTTGTTCTTAACAAGCAGAATTTTTATGTCCATTCAAAGAGTCTCTTATACCTTTCTGGGCCTATTTACTTGCAGAGAACAGTAGAAACTGTAACCAGGCTCTTCATATCATGCATTCACATGTGATGTCCAATCTTCATATGCTGTCCAATTTCTTTAAGATAAATGGAGTGACTCGCAGCAGGGCCACGTAGATGAGAAAGTTCTGTATGGAGATCATATCCTCGTGCATCTTCCGTTTCATCTCCGTGAGGTCCAGCTTCCGGGCAAGGCCCCCAATCCGGAAGATCAGCTGCCTCGCTCTGCTCTCCCTAATGGCCCCCTTACACCCGGAACTCGGCCTATCCCCTCGCCCCAGCTAATTTTTGTATTTTTAGTAGAAATGGGGTTTCGCCATGTTGCCCAGGCTGGTCTTGAACTCCTGGGCACAAGGGATCTACCCGCCTTGGTCTCCCAAAGTGCTCAGATTACAGGCATGAGCCACCACGCCTGGCCCAACATGGCTATTATTTTTTAAAGTGCTAAATTATGGCCGGGGGCTGTGACTCACGCCTGTAATCCCAGCACTTTGGGAGGCCGAGGCGGGTGAATCACGAGGTCAGGAGATGGAGACCAGCCTGGCCAACATGGTGAAACCCCATCTCTACTAAGAATACAAAAAATTAGCTGGGCGTGGTGGCAGGCGCCTGTAATCCCATCTACTCAGGAAGCTGAGGCTGGAGAATCGCTTGAACCCGGGAGGCGGAGGTTGCAGTGAGCAGAGATCACGCCACTGCAGTCCAGCCTGGGCAACAGTGCGAGACTCTGTCTCAAAAAAAAAATAAATAAATTACCTGGGTGTGGCAGCGCGTGCCTGTAATCCCAGCTACCCAGGAGGCTGAGGCAAGAGAACTGCTTGAACCCAGGAGGCAGAGGTTGCATGGAGCTGAGATGGCGCCACTGCACTCCAGTCTGGTGACAGAGTGAGACTCCATCTCAAAAAAAAAAAAAAAAAGTGCTAAGTTACATCTAAGTTTCCTATTTTTGTTTAAAAAACTCCTTGTAGTGGGTTGAATGGTGGACCCCAAAATGATACATCTGTCCATCTGATATGCGTGAATGTGACCTATTTGGGAAAACAGTTTTTGTAGATGAAATTAAGGATTTCCAAATGAGATCATCCTAGGTTAGAATGGAACCTAAATCCAACAGCAAAAGTCCTCATAAAAAGAAGGGAAGAAGACAGAAAAGAAGACCACAAAGACAAAGGCAGAGATAGGAGTTATGCTGCCATAAGCCAAGTAATACCTGGAGCCACCAGCAGCTGGAAGAGGAAAGCAAGGATTCTCCCTTGGAGCCTTCAGAGGGAGGTGTGGCCCAGCTGACATCTTGCTCTCAGATTTCTGGCCTCCAGAACTGTGAACAGAAATATTTCTGTTGTTTTAAGCCACTAAGTTTGTGGTAATTTGTTACAGCAGCTCTCAGAATCAAATACATTCCCACACCCCTTATTTATGTGTATGTGTGTGTATGCATGTTTGCATGAGCACTGAGAGAAGTATACCATTATTAACATTGGTTAGTTCAGGGGAATGGGACTGGCTTACTGAAGGCTGAGAGAGTATACGTGTGTGTATATAAATTGAGTGTATTTAAATTAAGTATATGGAAGTAAATTAAGACTACAATGAGATACCACTACCTCCCACCAATATGGTTAAAGATAAAAGGACTGATAATACCTAATGCTGGTATGGAGCAATGGAACCTTCCTTTATTGCTGGTGGTAAAATGGTATGGTCATTAAAAACAAACTAAAACAAAAACAACAAAAATGCAATTGTTTGATGGTACCTACTAAAAAATGTGTGTATGTGTGTGTATAGACACACACCCTATGACCCAGCAATTCCATTCCTGGCATATACTCAGTAGATAGCGTGTTTAAGACCATCATAAGATATATAAAAATGTTACGGTAGCATTATTCATAACAGCCCCAAAGTGGGAGCAATTCAAAGGTCCATGAAATGTAGAGTAACTAAATTATGGTATATTCATATAACAGAATGCTACACAACAGTGAAAAAGGCTGAACTGCTGCATAGCAGCAAAATAGAGAATTCTTTTAGACGTAACGTTGAGCAAATCAAGCTAGGCTCACTACAGCACATACCGTGTGATCCCATTTACAAAAAATTCAAAAACAGGCAAAACTAATCTATGGTGATAATCAGATGGGAGGCATTATCTAAGAGGGTGCTGGAAATGTCCTTTATTGTGATCTGAACATAGTATTCATATACGAGTCATTGAAATATACATTTCAAATGCTGGCTGTTTATTATCATTTCACTGGGATAAATGCCCAAGGAGTTAGTTTTCAAAGAGATGCTATTTAGAATTTATGGAAATTTAGAACTTACTGTATTTTCCCAGATTTTCTATAATGAGCAAGCATTGCAGTTTGAGGGTTTGAAAGATTGGTAGAGACAAAAACTGCATAAGCTGCATGATTATTTCTCACACTTCAGATGCTTACCACCTTTATGATTTGCCATATCATGTATTTTAAAAAATACATTTTTTTCTTTTTTTAGATGGAGTCTCATTCTGTCACCCAGGCTGCAGTGCAGTGGTGTGATCTCAGCTCACTGCAACCTCCTGGGTTCAAGTGACTCTCCGGCCTCTGCCTCCCGAGTAGCTGAGATTACAGGCACCCATCACAATACCTGGCAAATTTTTGTATTTAAAAATACAGCCAGGCTCGGTGGCTCACGCCTGTAATCCCAGCACTTTGGGAGGCCAAGGCTGGCGGATCACCTGAGGTCAGGAGTTCGAGACCAGCCTGACCAACATGGTGAAACCCCGTCTCTACTTAAAATACAGAATTAGCTGGGCGTGGTGGCTCATGTCTGTAATCCCAGCACTTTGGGAGGCCAAGGTGGGTAGATTGCCTGAGGTCAGTTCGAGACCAGCCTGACCAATATGGTGAAACCTCATCTCTACTAAAAATACAAAAATTAGCTGGGCATGGTGGTATGCTCCTGTAGTCCCAGCTACTCAGGAGGCTGAGGTGGGAGAATTGTTTGAATTCGGGAGGTGGATGTTGCAGTGAGCTGAGATCGCGCCACTGCACTCCAGCCGGGCGACAGAGCGACACTCCGTCTCAAAAAAACAAAAACATACAATTTTAAAAATTTAGTCTTAGCTTTTCAATAAGAGGGATTAAAATATATTATTTTAGTCTGCTCAGCATCCATTCTCCCTTCCTTTTGGCAAAGAACCCTAAATTTTTTGGGGGATGATATAGTTTGGCTGTGTCCCCAACCCAAATCTCATCCTGAATTGTAGCTCCTATAATTCCCATGTGTCATGGGAGGGACCTGGTGGGAGGTAATTGAATCATGGGGGTGGTTACCTTCATGCTGTTCTCATGATAGTGAGTGAGTTCTCAGGAGATCTGATGGTTTCATAAGGGGCTTTTCCCCTTTTGCTTTGCACTTCTCCTTCCTGCCATCATGTGAAGAAGGATGTATTTGCTTCCCCTTCTGCCATGATTGTAAGCTTCCTGAGGCCTCCCCAGCCATACACAACTGTGAGTCAATTAAACCTCTTTCCTTTATAAATTATCCAGTCTCGAGTATGTCTTTATTATCAGCATGAGAACGGACTAATACAGGGGACCACCTACTCCTTACTAGAGTTGGTTTTACCATCAACTTGCCCTCCTCTTGCTGAGGGATGGGTACCTAACCCATGTAACTTCAGTTGGAGGCACTCCAAGTGACATAAAAACTAAATATACATGTCAGAAGTTCAACCTGATATCAGCACTGTAAGAAAAAAAAACAAAAACAAACACCTCATAACACCTACTCTTAAGATACCTGAAACTGTTACAATTCTTGACCTTTCCAAAGCCTTGAGTCCTCAACTTTTCCATGACTCTGGAGTCTCTCATTCTTTCAAATAAGATTTTTATCAGTAAGTTCATTAATCTGATCCTGTTGCTTGCAACCAAAAATTCCAATATATCATGAAATCAGGTTAGATGTGGTTATATTACTTCAAGTATATACTAACCCATTTCCCGTTTGCCCCAAGAATACTCTTGCCTCTAATCCTAATGTAACATTATATACATTTCCATTATATTAGGATTAGAGACAAGTTCTGTTTAGAAATAACTCTAAGAACAGTTTGTGTATTTTCACATTGAAAATTAATTTGCGTCAACCTCAGAGTGTGTTTATGTAAAATTAAATGAGCGCTGGCAGCCAGCTGCACTTTTTTTTTCTTTTTTTCTTTTTTTTTTTTTGAGACGGAGTCTCACTCTGTCGCCCAGGCTGGAGTGCATGGAGTGCAGTGGCATGATCTCGGCTCACTGCAAGCTCCGCCTCTCGGGTCTATGCCTTTCTCCTGCCTCAGCCTCCCGAGTAGCTGGGACTACAGGCGCCTGCCACCATGCCCGGCTAATGTTTTGTATTTTTAGTAGAGACGGGGTTTCACCATGTTAGCCAGGACGGTCTCGATCTCCTGACCTCGTGATCCACCCACCTCGGCCTCCCAAAGTGCTAGGATTACAGGCGTGAGCCACGGCGCCTGGCCACTTTTATTTTCTAAACAGGAAATGGGTTAAATACGTAACTCTGTATGAAATATCCATTCATAAGCTACCCTAACAGCCCCCTTGAGTGGTATAAGGCTACAGTCTTTGACCAAAAAAAAAAGTATTTGACAAAAACTTATGTCATGTGATATATGTTCATAAAAGGCAAGTATTTAATAGGATTATGTCAATTATAGCCAGGCTGGTAGGTAAATTTCTTTTAAATACCAAGGCTCAGCCAGACTGCTGCAAGGAAGTGTTCCAGAACTTATGTACCAGCAAGCAGTCTTGTCCAAGTGGTAAAACAGCAAGAGTAGTATGTGGAATGGAAATTCGGTTTGTATGTTTTTTTTTTTTTTTTTTTTTTTTGAGACAGAGTCTTGTTCTGTTGCTCAGGCTAGAGTGCAGTGGTGCAGTCTCGGCTCACTGCAACCTTTGCCTCCCAGAGTCAAGAAATTCTCTTGCCTCAGCCTCCCAAGTAGTTGGGATTACAGGCGCCCACCACCACGCTTGGCTAATTTTTGTATTTTTAGTAGAGACGGGGTTTCACCATGTTGGCCAGGCTGGTCTTGAACTCCTGACCTCAGGTGATCTGCCCACCTCAGCCTCAGCCTCCCAAAGTGCTGGATTACAGGCATGAGCCACCATGCCCGGCCTTGTTTTTTATTTATTTATTTCTTTGAGATGAAGTCTTGCTCTGTCACCCAGACTGGAGTGCAGTGGTGCAATCTCGGCTCACTGAAATCTCCACCTCCCGGGTTCAAGCGATTCTCCTGCCTCAGCCTCCCAAGTAGCTGGTATTACAGGCACACACCACCATACCTGGCTAATTTTTGTATTTTTAGTAGAGACGGGTTTCACCATATTGGCCAGGCTGGTCTTGAACTCCCGACTTCGTGATCCGCCCGCCTTGGCCTCCCAAAGTGCTAGGATTACAGGCACCTTTTTAAAATTATTATATTGAGACAGGGTGTCACTTTGTCACCCTGGCTGGAGTGCAGTGGCATGACCTTGGCTCACTGCATCCTCAACTTCCCAGACTCAAACCATCCTTCCACCTCAGTCCCCCAAGTAGCTGGGACTACAGGTGTGCACCACCACATCTGGCTAATTTTTGTGCTTTTTGAGGAGATGGGGTTTTGTCATGTTGCCCAGGCTGGTCTCAAACTCCTGGCCTCAAGCGATCCTCCCACCTCAGCCTCCCAAAGTGCTGAGATTACAAATGTGAGCTACTGCACCTGGCCGTGTATTTCTACAAAAGTTATGTTATAATCAAATTTGAAAATCTCAACTTTTCCAAGCAAATGATCCAATAGCAGGCTATTTATAAACTTTTAATGTGCATTAGTTACTGCTATGTAAAAGTTTTTTTGTTTTTAAGAAGTGAAGGTGTGAAAAAAACAAACCTGTAGTAAGTTTCATGTCTTTTGGAAATTTATAGGGAAGTACATTTGAGCATACACATTGTCATTCTCCTTTTCTCAGTGACAGTTTTATGACTTGGCCATCTCTAAAGATAATATATTCCAATATGTAATTGCTATATAGCAAATACATTAGCTGATGAAGTTGTAGGAGGCAATGTAATAAATGTTCTTACTCAGCTTTGGTCTAACAGATAACTATGACTGACAATTTCGTAAAAATAACAGACCAAGTGTTTTTGAGAGAGAGAGAGAGAGAGAGAGAGAGAGAGAGAGAGAGAGAGAGAGTGTGTGTGTGTGTGTGTGTGTGTGTGTGTGTGTGTATGTTTTGAGACAGGGTCCCACTCTTATCACCCAGGGTGGAGGGCAGTGGTGCAATCTCGGCTCACTGCAGCCTTGACCTTCTGGGTTCAGGTGATCCTCCCACTTTAGCCTCCCAAGTAGCTGGGACTACAGGCGTGCACCACCACACCCACCTAATTTTTTTTTTTTTGGTAGAGATGAGGTTTTTCTGTGTTGCCCAGGCTGGTCTCAAACTCCTGAGCTCAAATGACCCACCTGCCTCGGCCTCCCAAAATGCTGGGATTACAGGCGTGAGCTATTGTGCCCAGCCTATATAAAAATTTTTTAAGTTTTTGGAAAATGTCAGAAATCAACGTTTCCTTTTAGCCCTATTTTCAAAAACTGGCTAGTTTGATAAATGGATCACAATTTCTTACACATGCTACTAATAGAAGAGGCATTCAAAAATAAATGACTGATGGCCAGCGAGTGGATAACTTGAGATCAGGAGTTCGAGACCAGCCTAGCCAAGATGGTGAAACCCCATCCCTACTAAAACTACAAAAAATTAGCCAGGCACGGAAGTGGAGGTTGCAGTGAGCGGAGATCGCACCATTGCACTCCAGCCTGGATGACAAAGCGAGACTCTGTTTAAAAAAAAAAAAAAAGTAACTGATAAAACTGACCACAGTGTATCTTGGGCAGTAATGGCTGCTGCTTCTCATTTTCAGCAGGACTTAATGAAAATTGCTAATGATAACGCACTACCTCCTAAGAATGATGCAAAATACGATTTTTGATGTTTAAAGGGAGGGTTCCATGGAGTTTGGTATTTTCCAAATTATATTCTAAATCTGGTACTATCTCACCTAATAATTTTATCTTTCTTTAGCAACAAGCCCTAACAATATCCAAACTAAATAAAATCATTACATGAATTTACTTTTTACAATCATTCTCCTAAGGCTGGGCGTGGTGGCTCATGCCTGTAATCCCAGCACTTTGGGAGGCCGAGGTGGGCGGATCACCTGAGGTCAGAAGTTCGAGACCAGCCTGACCAACATGGAGAAACCCCGTCTCTACTAAAAACACAAAATTAGTCGGGCGTGGTGGCTCATGCCTGTAATCCTAGCTACTCGGGAGGCTGAGGTGGGAGAACCCGGGAGGCAGAGGTTGCGGTGAGCCAGTATCACGCCACTGCACTCCAGTCTGGGCAACAAGAGCGAAACTCCGTCTCAAAAAAAAAAAAAAATAATAATAATAATAATAATAATTAAAATTATTCTCCAGGGATGGGCATGGTGGCTCATATCTGTAATCCCAGCACTTTGGGAGGCCGAAGCAGGCAGATCATTTGAGATCAGGAGTTTGAGACCAGGTTGGCTAACATGGTGAAACCCTGTCTCTACTAAAAATACAAAAAAACTAGCTGGGTGTGGTAGTGCACGCCTGTAATCCCAGCTACTTGGGAGGCTGAGGCAGGAGAATTGCTTGAACCCGGGATGCAGAGGTTGCAGTCAGCCGAGATTGTGCCACTGTACTCCAGCCTCAGCAACAGAGCAAGCAAGACACAGTCTCAAAAAAAAAAAAAAAAAAAAAAAAAAAAAAAGCTATTCACCTGTATTTTCCCTTAGTATCCTATAATTGACCTGTTTCCCTCTTTATAAGTTCAGCTACTTTTAGTTACCTTAACTATACCACATGGTGGTGTCATGATTGGTGTCAATGTATTGCATATATATATATATTACAATATACCACATGATAGGTGTCAATATACTCCAACAATTAGACTTAATTTTCTTCCTCTCCGATAATTTTTCCGCCTGCTTTGAGGAAACATCTGGTCATATTGCAGTTAAAAATCAAACCTCTTAACAATAAATTTATTTAATTAAATGCCATAAAAATTAATCAAGAATGGCCAGGCATGGTGGCTCACGCCTGTAATCCCAGCACTTTGGGCAGAGGTGGAAGGTGGCTCACTTGAGCTCAGGAGTTGGAGACCAGCCTGGGCAACATGGCAAAACCCCTATCTCTACCAAAAATATAAAAATCAGCCTGACGTGGTGGCATGCGCCTGTAGTCCCAACTGCTTGGGAGACGAGACTGAGGCAGGAGGATCACTTGAGCCCAGGAGGTTGAGGCTGCAGTGAGCCACGTTCGTGCCACTGCACTCAGCCGGGGTGACAAGGCGAGATCCTGCCTCAAAAAAAAAAAAAAAAAAGTACTAATGATTGATTACAAACTAGAGATCTTCCTTATTCTAATATCCATTTTATTTTGGAAACGTAGCTTTCCCTCGATTTATAAGAATTAAAAGGTCTAAAGTTCTTCCATTCCACAGGATAAACTAAAGAAATTATTCATTTAAAAAAAAAGGCAAAGAAAAGAGCTTAAAGCATGAAAAGTTTTTTTGTACTTATGGCTTATTAGTCTGTGTAGAAATTCTGGAGACAGAATTACAGAAACCAGGCCCACAAAGAATCTTTGTGGTACAATCAGATTTCTTTATTATTTCTTTTATTAGAATGTAACTTAAGCTACTTAATTTTTGCCTTTGTGACTACCATCATAGAATATTCTGAAGACTAAAGTTAACCAAAGATCCAGAACAATGTTTTAATTTAATGAAAAATCTAGGCTAATATGAAGATAGAAACTCAGGCTAAAAAACTTCAGCCGGGTGGGATGGCTCACGCCTGTAATCCCAGCTCTATGGGAGGCCAAGAAGGGTGGATCACCTGAGGTTAGTAGTTTGAGACCAGCCTGGCCAAAATGGTGAAACCCCATCTCTTCTAAAAACACAAAAATTAGCCGGGCGTGGTGGCGGGCGCCTGTAGTCCCAGCTCCTCAGGAGGCTGAGGCAGGAGAATCGCTTGAACTCAGGTGGCGGAGGTTGCAGTGAACCGAGATGGCACTGCTGCGCTCTAGCCTGGGCGAGAGAGCAAGACTCTGTCTCAAAAAAAAAAAAAACACCCCACAAAAACCCAAAAAACTTCCTGGTTGTCGAATTCAGTATTAGACACAAAAAATTCTAGCCTATTTATGGGTGGTACCACTGGTAAGAGACAAATCACAAGATATTGTGTTAGGCTAACTTCAAGATCTGTCCATTCAGATAGTGGTTGACATATTGGGTGATCAGAAAAATTTGTTAAATTGCATTATGTGAAAAATCAAGTATTTGTAGAATACTTTAAGTTATTCTATTTACTACTACAATGGCATTTTTATTCTCTCTGACATAGTTTTGTGTTTACTTCAGAGTGCAGCAAGGTCTCAAACCTTAATTTCTCTAGGTTACATATTTCCAAATTTATAACTACCATCAAGACTCAAGTTTTAGAAGAGGCTGAGAACAGAAAATATGGTACTCATTCCAAAAAATGTTAAAGCTATAAGTAGAACTGAGACCTCAGTTTACATCCACTTAGTTTCTATTCCAGTGGTTTGAAGTATCTGTTGTAAATTGTTCAAGCAAGCTTTGTAAGTTGATTTTTTTTTTTTTTTGAGGCAGAGTCTTGCTTTGTTGCCCAGGCTGGAGTGCAGTGGTGCAATATCTGCTGACTGCAACCTCTGCCTTGGGTTCAAGCGATTTTCCTGCCTCAGCCTCCCGAGTAGCTGAGATTACAGGCATGTGCCACCACACACCTGGCTATTTTTTTTTTTTTTTTTTTTTTTGTATTTTTAGTAAAGATGAGGTTTCATCATGTTGGTCAGGCTGGTCTCAAACTCCTGACCTCAAGTGATCCGCCCGCCTCGGCCTCCCAAAGTGCTGGGATTGTGGGCATAAGCCACCGCACCTGGCCCTTTAACTTGATTTCAAAGCAAAATTATACAAATGGACCCTAACTTCTATTATATATTTAAGTTTACTTCAAAGATCTATTTTATCCTTATCCTTAGAAACTGTGAGGAAAAAAAAACTATGTTAACAAAGCTGATGACAAAGATTCTTTATTATATAAGAGATCCTATTATCTGATCATATTACCTAATAAATTATATATGAATGTTCAATAATAAAAATAATGTTCACCAATATGTCACATGCATGGTTAGTGTTTTATTCTTTGAAGACTGCTTCTAAAACATCGCACTAAGTAAAGCTGAAAGGATAAAGTTTAAAATAGTTTTTAAAGGATAAGTTATAACATATGTAATGACTGTCCACTCTACAAAATCTTGATCTTAGAGCTTATGATACACCCAGTTGGCAGTAGCACCCAGGTTTTCCAAATAGCCAGTCATCACTTTTCTCTTGTCTGCATAGACTTCTTCTCATTAGCTGCCTTCTGCTTTTCTTGCATGATCTCAGAGTCCCTACAATGAGGGAAAAGTCTATAAGTTGTTACAGAAAAACCAATTATATATTCTCACTTGGTTTCTACACATAACCCATTCAGTGTATTAGAAGACAATTTAAAAGAGGATATAAACTTTTTTGTCTTTCCATTTTCATGGCTGGAGACAAAATGGAAAGACAGACTGGAAAGGCTTTGAAGTCAGATCTTATTCTGAATACCATCTCTGTTATCATGACCTTGGGCAAATAACCTCAAAGCCCTTTCAAAATCCGGGCAATATGTATCAAGGTTGTTACAAGGAATCACTATGAATATATAAAAGTGTGTGACATTAGGCAGCTACATGTAGAAATAATAGCTATTACTCTTGGTTGTTAACTAGTTAATTCATTCTAATTTTTTTCCTTGAAAGAAGAGGCATTTAAGAACTCTCCTAGGTATCCTAACTGGTATCTACGACTAGAACATAGATATTATGAAGGATTTCAGTTTCTTACAAGCAAAAAAGCCCAAAAGCTAGTCACTAAAACTGGATTACAATAAAGAAAAGCTGGATGTTCAGGGTACTTTTTTTTTTTTTTGAGACGGAGTCTCGCTTTGTCCCCCAGGCTGGAGTGCGGTGGAACGATCTTGGCTCACTGCAACCTCCACTTCCTGCTTGCAGTTCTTCTGCCTCAGCCTCCTGAGTAGCTGGGACTACAGGCATGCGCCACCACACCCGACTAATTTTTGCATTTTAAGTAGAGACGAGGTTTCACCATATTGGCCAGGCTGGTCTCGAACTCCTGACCTTGTGATCCGCCTGCCTCAGTCTCCCAAAGTGCTGGGATTACAGGTGTGAGCCACTGCGCCCAGCCCTTAACCCTTCTCATCTCCAGTCAAACTGACACATGCCATATAAACTGTGAACTATGACCAGACTACCTGGGTTAGGTGATTCATGAGTCCATGGACCCATATTTTAAAAACAGACTAAACGGCCATGCATTCAACATCTACTGTGTGTCAAGCACTCTACCAGCTCTGGTTAAAGTCCCACAACTCTGACTTATTAACCTCATGTTTCAAACTTTTTAATTTTTTATTTATTTTTTTGAGACAGAGTCTTGCTCTGTTGCCCAGGCTGCAGTGCAGTGGCACAATCTTTGCTCACTGCAACCTCCACCTCCCTGGTTCAAGCGAGTCTCCTGCCTCAGTTTCCCAAGTAGCTGGGATTACAGGCATGTGCAACCAAGCCCACCTAATTTTTGTATTTTTAGTAGAGACAGGGTTTCACCATGTTGGCCAGGCTTGTCTCGAACTCCTGGCCTCAAGTTGATCCGCTCGCCTCGGCCTCCCAAAGTGCTGGATTTACAAGTGTAAGCCACTGAGCCTGGCCTGTTTTAACTTTTTGAGGAAATGCTAAACTGATTTCCACAGCCATGATGGTAAGATATTTCTGTAAAGCCAATAGCAAAAACAAGGGAATAGAAGAAAGGCAAAATAGGCCAGTGGCTCACATCTGTAACCCCAGCACTTTGGGAGGCTGAGATAGGCGGACCACCTGAGGTCGAGAGTTTGAGACCAGACTGAGCAACATGGAGAAACCCTATCTCTACTAAAAATACAAAATTAGCCAGGCATGGTGGTGCATGCCTGTAATCCCAGCTACTTGGGAGGCTGAGGCAGGAGAATCACTTGCACCCGAGAGGTGGAGGTTGCGGTGAGCTGAGATTGCGCCATTGTACTCCGCCTGGGCAACAAGAGCGAAACTCCGTCTCAAAAACATAAAATAAAATAAAATAAAATAAAAATAAAGAAGAAAGGCAAAATAACACAGCTACAGGCTGTTCTGCCTATAAAGTAGCCAATATTTATTTCTTTACTTTCCTAATAAACTTGCTTTCACTAAAACAAAAACAAAAACATAGCTATAAAGAAATGAAGTACAGTGGAAAAAGAACCATGACAGTTACTTCTCTATTTGAAACCAAGCTCTGTTGTGCTTGCTGTGTAACTTTAGTAATGTTACTGAAGTTCAGAGCCTCAGTTTCCTATTCTACAGATTAGTGCTAATACCATTTTTCAGAGTTATGATGAATAAAGAATAATGTATATAGAATGTCTAGCATAGAATTTTATAAGGAGTGCATATCTGGTAAACAATGACAATTTCTGAACCAAGCTAGACTAGGTTCTCCAATAAAAATACTATTGCAGGGTCACTGATTCATACCATGTTCATTTTTACTCTAATGTGAGTCAACAGAAATTGAAGACAAAGCTTATCACTTTAATAATAAATGTTAGGGCCGGGCATAGTGGCTCACACCTGTAATTCCAGCACTTTGGGGGACTGAGGTGGGCAAATCACTTGACCCCAGAAGTTCAAGACCTGCCTGGACAACATGATGAAACCCCGTTTCTACAAAAAATATAAAAACTATCTGGGCTTGGTGGTGTGCCCTTGTAGTCCCAGCTACTCAGAAGGCTGAGGTGGGAGGGTCACTTGAGCCTGGGAGGCAGAGCTTGCAGTGAACCGAGACTGTGGCACTGCACTCCAGTCTGGGTCACAGAGTAAGACGCCATATCTGGGAAAAAAAAAAAAAAGGTGTCAGGACCTTTGCCTTAAATTAAGGTCTTTAATCTCATTTATCAATGACTCTTAATAGTGGCTGCACATTAGAATCACCTGGGAGCTGTTTTAAGTTCAGTTTAAGGTATAACTGGGTGTGCTGGGAGGCTGGGGGAGGGATAGCATCAGGAGAAATACCTAATGTAAATGATGAGTTGATGGGTGCAGCAAACCAACATGGCACATGTATATCTATGTAACAAACCTGCACGTTGTGCATATATACCCTAGAACTTAAAGCGTAATAATAAAAAAAAAATTCAAAAAAAAAAAAAAAGGTATAACTGGGCCAGCGTGGTGGCTCACGCCTGTAATCCCAGCACTTTGGGAGGCCGAGGCGGGTGGATCACTTGAGGTCAGTAGTTTGAGACCAGCCTGGCCAACACGGTGAAACCCAGTCTCTACTAAAAATACAAAAATTAGCTGGGCATGGTGGCGGACGCCTGCAATTCCAGCTACTTGGATTGCTGACGCAGGAGAATCGCTTAAGCCCAGGAGGTGGAGGTTGCAGTGAGCCGAGATCACGCCACTGCCCTCCAGCATGGGCAACAGAGTAAGACTCTGCCTTTAAAAAAAAAAAAAAGGCATAACCTAAGTACAGTAAAATTTACCTAGGGTGCTTTTTAATGCTCGACCTCTGACCAATTAAATCAGAACTGGATGAAAGATAAATGTTTGAGCATAGAGATATCCCAATTACCCCGATTTGATCATTACACATTGTACACATAAAGGTTTTTTTTTTTTGACGGAGTCTCGCTCTGTCGCCCAGGCTGGAGTGCGGTGGCGCGATCTCAGCTCACTGCAAGCTCCGCCTCCCGGGTTCACGCCAGTCTCCTGCCTCAGCCTCCCGAGTAGCTGGGACTACAGGCGCCCGCCACTGCGCCCGACTAATTTTTTGTATTTTTAGTACGGACAGGGATTCACCGTGGTCTCGATCTCCTGACCTCGTGATCTTCCTGCCTTGGCCTCCCAAAGTGCTGGGATTACAGGCATGAGCCATCGCGCCCGGCCGGAGTTTCACTCTTGTTGTCCAGGCTGGAGTGCAATGGCGAGATCTCAGCTCACCGCAACCTCCGCCTCCCAGGTTCAAGTGATTCTCCTGTCTCAGCCTGCCGAGTAGCTAGGATTACAGGTGTTCGCCACCACAGTTGGCTTTTTTTTTTTTTTTGAGACGGAGTCTCGCTCTGTCACCCAGGCTGGAGGGCAGTGGCACGATCTCGGCTCGCTGCAAGCTCCGCCTCCCGGGTTCACGCCATTCTCCTGCCTCAGCCTCCCAAGTAGCTGGGACTACAGGCGCCTGCCACCTCGCCCGGCTAAGTTTTGTATTATTAGTAGAGACGGGGTTTCACCGTGTTAACCAGGATGGTCTCGATCTCCTGACCTCGTGATCCGCCCGCCTGGGCCTCCCAAAGTGCTGGGGTTACAGGCGTGAACCACCGCGCCCGGCCACACACTTGGCTAATTTTGTATTTTTAGTAGAGATGGGGTTTCTCCATGTTGGTCAGAATGGTCTTGAGCTCCCAACCTCAGGTAATCCACCCGCTTCGGCCTCCCAAAGTGCTGGGCTAACAGGTATGAGCCACCACGCCAAGCCAGTTTCTTTTTGTTGTTGTTTTTTTGAGACAGGGTCTCACTCTGTCACCCAGGCTGGAATGCAATGGCAGGATCTCGGCTCACTGCAACCTCCGCCTCCCAGGTTCAAGTGATTCTCCTGCCTTAGCCTCCCAAGTGGCTGGGACTACCCAGCCCACATACAGGTATTAAAAGATCACATGTACCCCCAAAATATGTACAACTATTGTAATTCAATTTTTTAAAAAAACAAAAAATCAAAACTGAGCATAACGCAAGGCTTGAGTAGCTGTCAAGGTTTCCCAGGTGATTCTAATGTGCAGCCAGGATTGAGAACCCCTAACAAGCCACACTGAAGCACATGCAGTCAGTTATTCGCTTAACCTCCAAGTTCCATATGGACAAAATCATTTGAGAATAAAATTAAGCTTTGATTAGCTCTTTTAGAAACATGAGTGTACTTTTTTTTACTTAAGCTGCAGTCTAAAGTATTTCTGTAGCAGTTTTACATTGGCACATATAGTCATATATTAAGGCTATGTACATGAATTCTCTCCAATGCAATGGATCTTCAGAAATCAGCACAGCTAGCTATTATGCATATACTTTTTTGTATCTTCTTGAGAACTATTATCATTATATATTAATAATTGAGTCCCTTGTCATTCAGAGTAGTTTGGGTAGGCTGTCTACTTTGAAAATGTTGTAACTCTAGCACCTCACAGTGTTTTGCATATAGAAGATGTTATTTTGCTGAATAAAGTTGTTTTTTTTT
Source organism: Homo sapiens (assembly GCF_000001405.40). Classification (NCBI taxonomy): domain Eukaryota; kingdom Metazoa; phylum Chordata; class Mammalia; order Primates; family Hominidae; genus Homo; species Homo sapiens. The sequence continues at coordinate 1,579,312 of NW_025791777.1, forward strand.
TTTTGTTTTGTTTTTTTGATACAGAGTTTCCCGCTCAGTACCCAGGCTGGATTGCAATGGCACAATCTTCACTCGCTGCAACCTCCCCCTCCCGGTTTCAAGCGATTCTCCTGCCTCAGCCTCCCAAGTAACTGGGATTACAGGCATGTGCCACTGCACCCAGCTAATTTTGTATTTTTAGTAGAGATAGGGTTTCACTATGTTGGTCAGGCTGATCTCGATCTCCTGACCCCAGGTGATCCACCCACCTTGGCCTTCCAAAGTGCTGAGATTACAGGCGTGAGCCACCGCACCCAGCCTATAAAAAGTTCTTATGGTTGTGGAGGAGCTGCATGAGTCTCTGTGAAACAAATAATAGCTTCAGAGCTTTACGTTTTTATCTATATGTTGGGATGTCTACCCCACGTGGTTTTAGTCCGCCTGGCACAAATCATTAGGCCCTGTTCTACCAAGGGCTTAACAAAATGCTTTCTGTTCCCCAAAATGAGGCCTTCTTTTTTTTTTTTTTTTTTTTTTTTTTTTGAGACAGGGTCTAACTCTGCCATCCAGGCTGGAGTGCAGTGGTGCAATCGCAGCTTACTGCGGCCTTAACCTCCTGGGCTCAAGCGATTCTCCCGCCTCAGCCTCCAGAGTAGCCGAGACCACAGCCATGTGCTACCATGCCTGGCCAATTTAAAAAAATATTTTGTAGATACAGGGGCTGGCTATGTTGTCCAAGTTGGTCTCAAACTCTTGGCTTCAAGCAGTTCTCCCGACTCTCCCAAACTGCCGGGATTACAGGCATGAGGCAACACACCCAGCCCAAAATGTTGCTTCAATCACAACGTCAGTGACTTTAGAATTAAATTAGTACCACGTACCTCTGCTTTCTCTGAGAGGCAGTCAAGCTATCCTCTTTCCTCTTTCCCTTGCTAATTTCCTGGGTTTTCTTCATGTTTTTCTGGCGGGCAAGTTCTCGTTGATTTCCACCTACAAAGTCAAACAGTCATGCTCTTTTCCCATCTCCAAAATTATTAATAATTCCAATAAACAGGCCTTATTTAAATGCATCTTTAGTTTGTGTTTTCATAGATAAACTAGCAGAGTAACAGATTGATGGTGCTCCTAGATCTGACAATAAGGAAGTGGCTTAAACACTTAAAGACTTAAGAGTATTATCATACCAATCTAGGTGGTCACTAGCTATAAATACCAGATATTTTAAAACAGATATTCGAATCTTGGGCCGGTATCCCAAAATAAGTTCTGGCTTTTGAGGGGAGTGGGTGGAAGAGAAAGCTAGATACAGAGATCACAAGTTCAGCCCATCACTTGAGAGTTACCTTTATCCCCATGCAGAGGCGGAGAGGGGTGGATGGAGACTGAACAGATTGAAGGTAAGTCTGCGAAAGGCAGTGTGGGCCTTTACATCCTTATTCTAGCCACAACCCTGCAAGGTAGGCTTCATTGTTTTCATTTTGCAGAACAGACTGACCTAACACCTAGGACTGGTACAAACGAACATCAAATTTAGGACCGGCTCTAAAGCCTCCTGTTTATTCGGCTACTACCTGCGAGCGCCAAACAAAAGAACTAGGGAGGCGACTCACTGGAGTTCCCGGTCCTCATTAGGCCTTAAGACTTGAGGTATCAGCTATAAAGTACCTCCAAACAAGGACCCTCCTGGGGCGGCCGTGTCCACATCTCCGGGGTGTGTTCTTTACCGCACAAACTCGCACCTGAGGGGCAGGCACCCGTCCGGCCTGAAAAGCCGGACCGGAACCACCCGCGAGCTCTCTCTCTGCCGACTGAAGCGGGGATCCCCGCACTGCGCGACCCAGGGGGATTCTCCAGCCGGACTCCGCCTCCCCCGCCCGCCGCGCCTCAGCGCTAGGCTCCCACGCCGGACGCTCGCCGCCGCTTCCCACCCCCACTCACGGGCCATGCCGACCACCAACGGAGCCTGGAAGAAGAGCAACTCGGAAAAGCAACGGTTCTCTGGCACTCTGGGATACCGTCACCACCGCTGACCGGGAAGGCTGAGCCCTCGTGGGCCCTCCGCCCGGCTGCGCCTCCGCTCTGCTCCGCCAACGGCCCCGCCCGCTGGAGGCCCGACAACAGCCGCCGGCATGGCCGGCGCGTCACTGCGCGTGCGCGGCCGGGGCTGGGCCGGGGCTCCGAAGCTCGGCCGGGGCTCCGAGCTTGTTGAATTACATTTCCCTCATGCTACATTAGCACTAATTTTAAAAGGGATATACAATATGTATATCTCTATTATGTGATAAGTTAAGCTGTTGTATTCTGAAATTTAAAAGCATTATTTTCAGTGAAAAAAACCACACAAATAGAAATGTGTACAAAAAACTCACTGAATGATATTTCTTTAATAGTAAAGGCACAATATGTCAAAACCTCCTCTTTCCTTTTTGCAACGATGTAGAACTGCAAAGTTAGCTAATGTCATCTCCTAATTAAACAAAATCAACTGTGAGAAAATTAAACTGATTGCTTCACAATTACGGTTGAGCAAACACTCAGTTTGTCCCTATTTCATCTCCTGCTTTAGATCTTTGAGAAATTTCCCATTGTTTTGCTTCCTTAGATTTACAGGGAAGAATATCTTAATATTCTTTAATGAACTTGCATTTGTAGCATCTATACTAATGTTACATCAACTAGGCCTTATGCATACATATTTATAACTTAAAATATTCTGCACAAATATGATATATTTTAAAGTCTATACCTCTTATAAGTATTATCTTTTCTGCTGAAATTCAAGGCTATCAAATAAGTGTATGTTTTTAGAGTTGTACAGTGAGATTTGAAAGCAGTCATGATATAATCACTGTAATTTTTTTAATTAAATGGTGGCAGATAGGCCAGATAAATTGCGGGAAAGGGTCAGATAAATGATGTTATGAATGAGGTAAACTTTTATCATATTTTGTATTATTTGTTATCTATGCTTCTGTTTACATAGCAGGATGACTCTATTGCATTCTGTCATTAACACTGATTTGTCCATATCAGTGCAAGTGAAATCTGCCCTACCCTAAATGAACCAGTTATTTCTAACCTACACCATCAAGAAAAGGTTATGTCTATCAACCTCCATTACATATTATATAGAATATACACAATATACATTCTAGATATATGAAGTCTTTGCATACATCTGAGTTATGCGTATGAGTATACATTTATATATACTTATATATATGTTTAAGATATATATTTCTGAGGATCCATATATGTCAGTGAACATGTACTCAATGAACTTTCATTATTGTGCAAACATAAACAGTGCAGTGTTATGGGATATTCCAACCAATTATAAGATCAAATCTCTTCACTTATTCTATTTGTTTTTGTTGTTATTGTTGTTGCTTTTTGAGACGGAGGAGTCTTGCTCTGTCACCCAGGCTGGATGGAGTGCAGTGGCGTGATCTCAGTGCACTGCAGCATCCGCCTCCTGGGTTCAAGCAATTCTTCTTCTTCAGCCTCCCAAGTAGCTGAAATTACAGGTGCGTGCCACCACACTTGGCTAATTTTTGCATTTTTAGTAGAGATGGGTTTTCACCATGTGGGCCAGGCTGGGTTTGAACTCCTGACCTAAAGTGATCTGCCTGCCTCAGCCTCCCAAAGTGCTGGGACTACAGGTGTGAGCCACTGCATCCAGCCTCTATTTGTTCATTTTTATAAGGCAATTTCTCACTCAAGATGTAGAATCCCTTTTCTTTTCTTACTTCATTATTTTTTTCTAGAAGCCAATGTTAAAAAGAGAAGTGTATTAAGAGACACTTTAAAAAGATGAGATTTACAAAAACATCTTGATAATAAGAAAAAAAACCATATGTCATTTATATCTAAATCAATCAGATACCTTTAAGGCTTGTCTCATAGGATCCTATAACCAGGGTTTTTAAAACTGCTTTATATTAAGAATAGCTAAGAAATGGGAACTTAATCTGCCTTCCTCTTATGAATTCTACACCACAGCCAGTATGAGCTGAGATAATATTAGATACTCTTAATGTTATTGTTCCTGCACCTCATATTCATGAAAATTGCATAGATATTTAGAGAAATCTACATTCCACTAAACATCTATTTATCTATTTATATATGTATTTACAATTTTTGCATTTAAGAATATGCATGCATTCACTCAATGTGATATAGTTAGGCTTTGTGTCCCCACCCAAATCTCATCTTGAATTATTATCTCCGTAATCCCCACCTAGCAAGGGAGAGACCTGGTGGAGGTAATTGAATCATGGGGGTGGTTTGCCCCTTGCTGTTCTTGTGATAGTGAGTGAGTTCTCAGGTTATCTGATGGTTTTATAAGGAGTTCTTCCCCGCTTTGCTCGGCACTTCTTCCTGCCACCTTGTGAAGAAGTTTCCTTGCTTCCCTTTCAACTTCTGCTATGATTTCCTAAGTTTCCTGAGGCCTCCCCAGCCATGCTTAATTGTAATTCAGTTAAACCTCTTTCGTTTATGAATTACACAGTCTCTGGCAGTTCTTTATAGCAGTATGAAAACAAAGTAAAACAGCATGTTTTGACATGTCCGTATAATTTGGTTGACTCACCTGGCCCCTTGCAGTTTGGTATAAATTGTAATACAATTTCCATGTTTATTTATCTCTATCAAATAATGAAAACATGGCATCTGCATTCAGAGATAAAGTTTCTCATTTTTATACAGGCACAAGTTTTACCTAGTAAATAATGTTTAAATAACTTAAAACCAAGTTCTAGTTATACTATCTATTACTCCAATTTGGTCTCAATAAATCACATGAAAGGAAGGTAGATATTGTTATTTTCATCTAAGAGGAAACCCAGTTTGAGAAAAATGAAATAACTTGCTTAAGGTCACAAATCCAGTAAGTAGTGGAGGCTAAACTGAAATCAAGGTTTTCAGGCTCCAAATTCTCTATTTTTGAATGTTATATAACTCAACCAAGTAAATATCATATATTAAGGTAAAAAACATCTTTCACACTTTTATACTACTAAACTCTATTACAATTCTCTATAGAATAACACATGGACATTTTAGCAGTTCTGTAAAACATCAGAGTAAAAGCTTTTCACCTGTAACTCACTGTCAACTGAAAGACAAATTTTACTCTCTTAAAAATAGAAGAAATATCATTTGCAAGTAGAAGAGACAATGATGCACTTTTTCATTTTCTTAACTCAACTGGAATTAAAATTATATTAACTCATCATTTTTCTCTTTCATATCACAAATAACTTATTCTGCTTCTCACTATTGTAATGTGTTTTTTTAAAGTCTAACAACTCTTTCACTTATTTGACAACATTATATTAGAGTTAAAGTTAAAAACATTTTTTCTTTTGATGTTTAAAAATACAATACAAACAATGGAAAATGGAATTTGCATGTCATTGTACGTTGCAGACTCCAAGTGGAATTTGCTAATCACAAATTCCAATAGCATATATATTCTTATATCTCTAGTTGTTAAACTGATCGTTAATAATTAAACTTTTCAAAAATATAGTGTATATTTTAATTATATAAGAATATGTAAATTTTGGATGCAATTAATATTTAAACCATTAATCTGCACTTCAATAATACAGAGTTGACTCTTTTGAGATAAAAGTCAGCCAGGATTACAAACTCTAGTAGTATTTTTTAATAAATAAAAAATATTGAAGAAACAGCTTTGTTTTCCAATCCCTAGTTTTCTTCATTTGGTAAATAAATGTTTGCTGAACATGTATAAAATGTCAAGTATTGTGTGTGCTTTGATAGTTATGTATAAGCATGAGATATGAACTGTTCATAGAATATTAATCTTTTTTGCATATTTGCTTATTTCATGTTCTTTTTTCAGTAAGACTTTGTGCCTTATAATTGCATATAACCCAACAGAATGAAATACAATAAAATTAATTAGATGAGGACATCAAAATGAAAGAAAAATAAAAATTCTTTGAAACCAGGGACTAAGTTAGTATACAAAGTCCATGCCAAGAAGAATTAGTTTCTAGCAATGTATTCCACATGTGGCTCTAAGTGTTCTGTCTATCCACAAATAGAAAAAAACAGATACAATTACATGATTCAGATCTTCCAGAAGTTAAATGAACATACACACAATTGTTTTGTTCAATAAAAGGCAAAACTATTCCTTTTAGCTGCATAATAAAAAAATCTCTCATTATCCTTTTTCTAAGAGTACTGAAAATAATGGCCATCAACAATAACTTTAAGTAAATAATCTGATGTTTCACAGAATATTTTCTTGTAATTTCCCCCTCTGAGTCTTTGTAAGAATATTTTGTAAAAGCACTTCTGTAAGATCTGAATTTTGTGTGGTTGAGTATTAATACTCTATGCAGGTCTGGCTTCATTACAGGAAGAATTTCCAGTATCCAGAGAAAATGGCTGGCCCATAGTCCTTCTGGCATGCCTTCATAAATGCTGCTTATTTTCACTAACCTCTCCATCTGTACTGAGTGGCAGTATGTTTATGGTTATTTCCCTCGAAAAGAGACTAAAGTTCAGAGAGCCTTTATTGTGTGTTAATTGCAAATCCTACACTAAAAAAGTCAGCTAAACCTGGGCTAGTAATGACGCAAGCATGAATCAAAAGGCATCTCACCTTTGCTCAGAGGGAAACTTCAAGGAATCCTTGAAGTCAAACATCCCTTCAAAGACTGTTAAGACACAAATGAATAGGGATTGGGCCCCAAAATTCTGAATCAGAGCATTACAGGATGTAAATCTCATGGAGAAAAGAACACGTACGTCCGGCAGAATGGGATAGGCACATATAATTCTAAACAGCACATAGTTTGAGATTTACAGTTAAATAGTAGAGATGACTGAGAATATTGTTGACCCAGGGCAAGGAAAATTTTGTCATTGGGCACAATTGAGAATAATGAATTTATAATAAGCTGGATTCAGACAATTCTGTATCCTTACCCATGAATGGATAAACCAGAGAGTGGGACTAATAAAGTGTTCACAGATTGCATATTTTATTTGGAAAACTATCAAGGATAATTAAAGGGGCAAGAGATTAGCTAAGATATAATTGGTTCTGGGAACAAAAGCAATAGAGTTCCATGAAGCAAAGAGCATTCATGATTTGGGTGAAGCGGGGCATTCACCCAGAATAAAAGACTTGCTAAGTTTGCTCAGGTTACATCAGGGACACATGTAATATAGGTGGTTAAATAGATGGGGGGGTTAATGCCCATAAATTCTTAGTCCAGCATTCTCATGATGACAGGAAAAGTAAGAAGATATTGTCCTATTTATGTGAAAACTGGCATGGAAAAGGGAGAAGCAAAAGAGAAAATTTTACAATCCATTAATTAGTTTCATTAGCTTAAGATATACTCACATATATGCATCATCAAAATTCTGGAAAATTAGGCCACTACTAACACAGCTTCCAATATGTTGGTAAAGCAATAGTTCATCAAGATTAAAAATAACTTAGTATATACATTTCTCAGGTACATTTTATATTTTTAGTCAAAGAGCCCACACAATTGTTTTATGTTGATATGGAAAAGACAGTGCTGACCCATTTCTCGTAAAGTGAGAAACTAGAACTTTTCTTTCTTTCTTTCTTTCCTTCTTTCTCTTTTTTCTTTTTTTTTTTCTTTTTTTTTGAGACAGTTTCTTGGCTCACTGCAACCTCTGCCTCCCAGGTTCAAGCAATTCTCCTGCCTCAGCCTCCCAAATGGCTGGAATTACAGGCAACCGCCACCACGCTCAGCTAATTTTTGCATTTTTAGTAAAGATGAGGTTTTGCCATGCTGGCCAGGCTGGTCTGGAACTCTTGGCCTCAAGTGATCCACCTGCCTCGGCCTCCCGAAGTGCAGGGATTACAGGCATGAATCACCGCGCCGGGCCAACTACAAACTTTCTTCTAGAACACATAACGTTAAAAATAAAAATGTTAAAATTAATGATTTATTTATTTTTACTGCACAGTTGAGTTGATGTTAATGTAAAGTAAATTCTTAAAAGTTACAATCAACAAGTAACATTCCTTTTGAAAAGTATGCTTGTCCTAGATTAGTGTTTGCTACTTACTCGTCAGTTCTAATCACCAAGTTATAATTATATGTTGGAGAAATTTGGGGGGGAAATTTCTGTGAAGGATCAATGGGAAGGTGCCAGAGAAGACAGGCAGAGCCTTTGGATTTTGATGCAAGGCTGAAATTTGTGAATGGAAGTAGGGCGTGCAGGAAGGCCCTCATATAATAGGGCAGCTCTGAAAACAGTAATGTTGGCCAGAGAGATGGTGAGTCCTGTAGCCAAAGTCAGAGGAGTGCACATCCTACAAGGATGAGCTGGCATTATTAATTCTGTTTCGCTTATTCATTAGCTGGGAAGCCTGAAAGAACATGGCCTTAGTGGTGGTAGATCCAGAGTGTAAGAACAGGGAATATTAGTCACCTCAGCTTCTTGCATCATGTTCTCTTGATGGCATTAGAAGTACACCACTGGGGTCCCATCGATGCAGAGTTTGAGATTTAATAGGCCACACCCAAGTGTGAGACAGTAAACAAGGACTATGGCCACACAGTCCAGGTAGAGCTTAGATTAGCACCCCTAAATGAGACTAAAACATTCAAAAAATTAAGCAAGTTCTACCCCATAGAAGAGGATGGAAGATAACCATGACTGTCTCAGAGACTGTTCTGTGTAGAGAAGGGAAAGAGAAGACTCCTGGCAGAATTCTTCTCCATGGGCTCTCCTTCACACCGGGGAAGGGTCCCAGAAGACCTTAAAGTCCCAAATGTGGTTTTAAAATGGTCTCAGGTCAGGAGCAATCCCAGATATCTGGGACATGCAAACCCAAATCCTATGCTGAGGAATGTACCCTAAGCCCAGTCCTCAAATATTCCCTCAGATAAAGTTCTATGGAAATGAGTTCCCAACAAAACTATCACAAACAGATGGAGAGGGAAGTCTCTTTGAGCAAATTTATAGATAAAACAAAGGATATGATCAAACCTCAAGTGGCTGTGAAACTTGAGGGTCTTCATAATAAAAATACAATTTAAGGAGCTTGTAGGTTGGGTGCAGTGGCTCACGCCTGTAATCCCAGCACTTTGGGAGGCAGAGGTGGGCGGATCACTTGAGGTCAGGAGTTGGAGACCAGCCTGGCCAACAAGGTGAAACTCCATCTCTACTGAAATACAAAAATTAGCCAGGCGTGGTGGTGGACGCCTGTAATCCCAGCTACTCTGGAGGCTGAGGCAGGAGATTTGCTTGAACCCAGGAGGTGGAGGTTACAGTGAGCCAAGATCATGCCACTGCACTTCAGCCTGGGTGACAGAGCGAGACTCCATCTAAAAAAAAAAAAAAAAAAAAAAAAATTGTATAGTTCATGTGAGCAGAATTCTTTTTTTTTTTTTTTTTTGAGACGGAGTCTCGCTCTGTCGCCCAGGCCGGACTGCGGACTGCAGTGGCGCAATCTCGGCTCACTGCAAGCTCCGCTTCCCGGGTTCACGCCATTCTCCTGCCTCAGCCTCCCGAGTAGCTGGGACTACAGGCGCCCGCCACCGCGCCCGGCTAATTTTTTGTATTTTTAGTAGAGACGGGGTTTCACCTTGTTAGCCAGGATGGTCTCGATCTCCTGACCTCATGATCCACCCGCCTCGGCCTCCCAAAGTGCTGGGATTACAGGCGTGAGCCACCGCGCCCGGCCATGTGAGCAGAATTCTAAGTGCTTTTATAAGTAACTCATCTCCTCCTCATAATTCCGAAAGCAGGGAATGTCATTTCACGACACAGCCAACAAATATATGGTGAGTGCCAAAAGCATCAAGATAATACAAAAATAACAGCAGCGAGGAAAGCAGGACGTCTACCACCTTCATGGGGCTTGCCTTCTAATGAATACAAAATCAGTATGAGCTCCTGTTTTCTCTCTTTCTGTCCCTGTGTGTCTGTCTGTCTCTTTTTCTCTCAATCTCAAAACATGCATGTACACAACACATATACAACACAAACATTTCCTTTGCAACTGAAAATAGACAGATGAAGGATAATGAAAAAAACCAGAAAAGCCGCAAAATAACAAAATGATATGTGTAACAGGCATTGAAATCATCAGCCAAAACATTATATAGCCTAGCTACTGTGTGATTTTGTATAAATGAAAGGAAACTAGGAAGAATTTCTAACTTCACCATCTTCTTCCTGGGAAACCATGGGGAGAAGGTTTAGTCCCTGTTATTTTCAGTTTGCATCTCTATACATTTATTTACATTTCTCAACCTAACAATAACAGTGGAATTAAATGAAACCAGAAAGTGTTATGATTTAAACGGGAATAATTTTTCTGGATTTTGCAGGCCAACTGATACAAACAACAGAATGTTTTATTTTTATAAAATAGGCTTAGTGGAAGCCACACTATTACTTCCTGGTCTGTGTTTGTCATCATCATTTTACTATTTTTTTAACTAACAAAAAAGTTGTATATATTTATGGTGTACAACAGTATGTTTTGGACTATGTACACATTGTGCAATGGCTAAATCAAGCTAATTAATATATGGCTTACCTCACATACTTACCAGATATTAAAGTGAGAACACTTGAAATCTACTCTCAGTGATTTTCAAGCACTCTATACAATACATTGCTATTAACTATGGTCGCCACGTTGTATAACAGATCTCTTGAGCTTGTTATCATCCTCATTTAATGTTAATACACGAGAAGATAAGTCCAGGATCTGTCTTTTATTACCTTTATTGGTTTCCCTATATAGTGCTATCTACTGTTACACTAGATTTTTCCTATGCAATCCAAGAATAGAGATTTTCTAAAACAATTAATTTAGTGACTTGAATGCAACTGGTTGGTAATTCTGTTTTTATTGTCAAAAGTGTAAATAAATAATTTTAAATAACATGAGTTCATTCTCTTTAATATTGGCCTATGAATTATTTGTTTATGATTCATAGGCCAATATTAAAGAAAATGACTCATATTATTTATAAAGTTTATAATTTGAGATAAACAGGAAAATAAAACAATACTAATTTTAATAATAATAAAAAACTGTTCTGAGGGATTAATGCAAGGTTGTTACAGTGTGAACACTTCACATGCATTACCTATTTTCATGCTTAGAGCGACCTAATGTGCTAGTTACTGTCAGTGATCAGATTATACCGATGAGGACCCTGAGAAATAGAGAAGATAAGAAAACTAATGAAGTTAAAAAGAACAGAGCATGGACTCAAACCAATATCTGACTCAAAGCCCAATCTCTCACCTATTAGTTTGCAAATGTTATATCTATAGGTGAACTCACTAAAGCCTTCAGACATAAGATTCAAAACTGTGGTGTTTTCACAGTTAAATTATGAGTAATGTTTACTATTATATAATTTCTAAATAGATCAAGTTCTTGTTATTTACACATTTATAGACATAAAGTTTTGAGACATCTGGGTAGAGACTGAAACAATAGACTGGAACTTAAAAGCAGAAGTTTAGATGAGAGGGATATTTAGGTGTATTAATAAGGATTGAGGCTGTAAAAATGAATGAAATTACCCGAGAAAGCATTTCAAATAAGCAGAGAGGTGGGCTTGGCTGGGCACAGTGTCTCATGCCTGTAATCCTAGCACTTTTGGAGGCCAAGATGGGAGAACTGCTTGAGGCCAGGGGTTTGGGACCACCTTGGTCAATATAATGAGACCCCCATCTATATTTAAAAAAAAATTAAAAGTAGAGAGGTGGCCTGAAACACAGACATAGAGTTACCCAATAAGTGGGGCAAGGAAGTATAACCATGCAAAGGAAACTGATAAAGAGGGCCAGATGAGGAGATAGAAAATCTGGTCTGTGGGATGCCTCAGAAGCCAAAGAAAGATGTTTCCAAAAGAAAATGATAAACAGCTTTAGTAGTTGGTAGAAAGAGGATAGAAAGCTTTTCCATAGGATTGAGCCAACCTGAGAACAAAGGTGACCTATAAGCTGCAAAGGTAAAGGGATGGCACTAGAAGTTCTAAGGTAACCAGAAGTTTGAATACATTTGAAAACCCATTGCAGAGAGTAGGAGAGTAAGTTGACTAGGTATACAATTTCAGGCAATTTAGGAAAAAATAATTGAAGGACTGATTATAAATTTATTCATTAATTCAAAAAGTGTCTGATAGTGGCAGTAAACAAAACACTGTTCTGAGTGGTTTGGGTATATTTGCAGTGTAAAACAGACAATATCCTCTGCTCTCATAGAAATTAAGGTCCAGTAGAATGATAAAGAAACAATAAATATCAGGTAAAAATGTTTTAATACAATACATTAGAAAATGGCCAGTGGGTTTTTTTTTTTTTAAGTAGATCACAACAATTAGAAAGATCAAGAGTGTTTGAGGTCAAAGCAGGTTGCATTTTAAAATGGGATTGACCCACTGCTGTATATCTACACCAAGGAAAAGGAATCATTTTTATAAAAAGACACCTGCACTGCTATGTTTATTGCAGCACTATTCATAATAGGAAAGTCATGAAATCTACCTCAGTGCCCATCAATGGATGACTGGATAAAGAAAATATGGTACATACTAGGGCCGAGCACGGTGGCTCATGCCTGTAATCCCAGCACTTTGGGAGGCCGAGGCGGGCAGATCACCTGAGGTCAGGAGTTCGAGACCAGCCTGGCCAACATGGCGAAACCTTGACTCTACTAAACATACAAAAAAATTAGCCAAGTGTGGTGGCAGGTGCCTGTAATCCCAGCTACCCAGGAGGCTGAGGCAGGAGAATTGCTGGAACCCAGGAGGCAAAGGCTGCAGTGAGCCTAGGCTGCGCCATTGCACTCCAGCCTGAGTAACAGAGCAAGACTCTGTCTCAATAAATGAATAAATAAATAAATACAGTAAAGAAAGAAAGAAAAAAGAAAATATGGTACATATACCAGCCATAAAAAGAATAAAATCGTGTGTTTTGCAGCAACACATATAGAGCTGGAGGCCATTATCGTGGGTGAAATAACTCGAAAAATCAAGTACTGCATATTCTCACTTATAAGCGGAAGCTAAACAATGAGTACACATGGACATAAAGAGGAAAATAATAGGCATTGGGGACTCTAAAAGTGGGGAGGATAGGAGAGAGATGAGGGTTGAAAAATAACCTATTGGGTACAATGTTTACTTTATGGGTGATGGGTACATTAGAAGCACAAACCTCACCATTACCCAATACATCCATGTAACAAACCTGCACATGTACCCCCGTACTTATAATACAAAATAAAGTGGGATTGACAACAATACTCAATTTGGTTGATATTTCAGCAACAATGTGGACTGAAAGAAGTGAGAATTAGCCATGCGGATATCTAGGGAATAGCACTCTAGGTATGGGAACAGCAGTGCAAACTCCCTGAGGTGGCAGGGCAGCGTGCATGAACAGCGAGAAGAGAGTAATAGGAAATGAGGTTAAGGAAACAGTGGGAATGAGTGTAGGGGCCAGAAAGTGTAGGAACTTGAAGGCCACTCCAAGGATTTAGGTTTTACTGAGTGAAATAGGAGCCTTCCTATTGCTAACAATATACACTAGTCCCCTCATTTCTCCAGTGGGGTTCAGTGTAGGATTTCTATGCACTGAGAGTGGCTTCATAAGTAGCTTTGACAATTACCACAAAATAACAGCATGAGGAAGGAATAGTTTACAAGTGTCTTATGAAAATGCAAACCATATGTGTTCTGCTTAATAATGAACAGAGGTAAGAAATTAATGGGTGGCTGTTTTAGAAGAATGGAAGAGAAATGGACTGAGGTTTAATGCGTACATTTGTATTCTCATTCACTGATATAAAGATAAATACATTGAATCTGGATCCAGGATTTGAGGCTTTTTCTGCATCAGACCCTCCTGTTCTTAGTCAAATCATTTCCATTTGTAAAACTAAATTACTATTTCAAAGTGCTCAGACAGAAATGGGACAAAAAAAGAAGATAATTTTGAGCCAAAAATGTTTTAACATAGCATGAAGCTTTAAATTAAAAAAGACACTTCTTAGTATTACACTTCTGGAATTTAACCTAAATGTAAATCCTTTTTTTTTTTTTTTTTTTGGAAGCAGGGGCCTACTGATCATTTATTCTTTCATGAAACGAAACAAATAAACATTTATTTATTGACTATGAAGATGGGTCTTGGGGAAATATTCCCTTTAGAAGCTCACAGTCCAGTGTGCTTCTTCTCCACTTTCTGTGTGGTAGTGAAGTATTTTTCCTTTTATAAGTACAAATGAATTACTCACTTTTTGATTCCAGTCAATGCAACACTAGAATTATTCAATGAAATTACATTTTTCTTATGGTGCTCAGAGGACGGCCCACTGCCAATGTAATTGAGGCCCTTTCAAAACGTAATTTCCATTAACAATGTTTACTCTGAAATTGTCTCTTTGGCTTTCTTCATATGATAGAATCTATGATTGAATGAAAGTGCTAGGTTTGAGATTACTGCATCTATAAATGTAATATTTACTTTGAGTATTAATGATTGTAATGGTTGGCTTTTAAGATCATTTCAGTTGCTTTGATAACGGAATAGCAAGGCAAGAAATTAACAGTGACAGATGACTTCATTAACTAATTCCAGTTAAATAAACCTCTGATTCTCTCCCCAGCTCACATGTTGTTCACATAAATGCTTGGAGAAAATGTGACGATTATAGTTCTTTTTATACATTTTAATATACATGCATCATACTGAAAATTTTATATATATTATATAAGGTAAGAATTATTCATAAATTTATAAAAGCAAATTCCATTATCTGACTGGCAATAAGATCCCTTAACACCCATATATATTTCCCATACAGGTATTATTAAAATGAAAAATATACAGTTTTTAGGCATATATCCACTAAATCAAAAGCCCATTTTTGTTTAAATAATTTTCTTTAGCTATATATCATTTTTGAAAGCACAATTTATAATGTTCAAAATAGAATGTGTTCCAAACTTTCTCTTAGAGTGCTCAGTGAGAAAGTACTTATATTTATATCCATTTTGAAGCAGTCTTCAGAGAATCATACTTTAATCAGGAAATCTGAGCTTATGAAAATGTTCATTATATTGATTTTTTTTTCCATATTGCTGTGCACACTGAATCTTGTCCCAGCAGGCTAATGAAATACTTTATTTCATGATGTGTCTCTAGGCTATGGAGATATGTGACGTGTTATGGCCAAATTTTGTGTGATCTTCTATATTGAAAGAGTCACCCACATGTCCCTAAAAGATACCCATACTTGCAATTTTATAAAAAAGTGAATTTTGCTCAAACACATTATTTACAGATGTTCAATCAGATAAGTTAAAACCAGACAATTTGTAAATGATTTAATTGAATTTTAAGGGATATGGAGAATAAATCCAATGAATAAATATCATTTTTAAATGCATCTCATATTTTGTAAGAAAATATATTTACAAAATGGAAAACTGCATTATTAAAATACAAACTTTATAGCAGTTTTATGCAAAATAGTATATAGAACAGTTACCTGATTTGTAACAAAAGGGTAGCTCTGTATTCTCAATACAGATCATTTCCCTTTAAATGTTCTTGTCTTTTTAAAATGCTTTACAAAATAATTGTTTCATTATTTATTAGAGAGTTCATAATAAGTTTTCTTTGCATAAAGTATTCATTTGTCATTTAAAAATACAAAATTAAATGACTCTATCAATAAAAATGTTTGGAATATTTTTCATTTTATATTTACTGACTAGTATAGAGCAAACTAAATGAGTTTTGGAGTCTCTCTTTTACATATGTTTTACATTGATATGATTCTTCCTATAAAGTCATAAATAACTTTTACAAGTATAAACACTGCTGCATGAAGAAAAATACTGACCTAGTAATCTCCTAGGTCAGATTTGGATTCAGCAGCACAGAATGGAAATCCAATTATAATCTCTTAAACAAAGAAGGATTTATTTTTCTCGTGGGTCTTATACAGCAACCCAAAGATTGGCATCCTGGGTCTTATACAGCAACTCCATGATAACATCAAAAAAGGACCTTTTAATTTCTCAATCAAACATGTGGCTTTCTTTTTTATGATCGTAAACCAGTTTCTGCATCTCTAATCATTATTTTGGCAAGCCATGGAAAAGACAAAGGAAAAAAATGGAGAGATTAAAAAAAAAAGCAGCAAAAAGTACATGCAGTATGAATACAGGTGGATACAAAGAAAGGAACAACAGACAGGGCCTACTCGAGGGCAGAGGGAAGGAGGAGGGTGCAGAATGAAAACCTAGCCATTGGGTACCATGCCTATAACCTGGGTGATGAAATAATCTGTACACCAAACCCCCATGACACTCAATTTACCTATATAACAAACCTGCACACGTACTCCTGAACCTAAAAGTTAAAAAATAGAATAAAATAATTAAAAAAACTTTTCCTAAAAAGCCCCAAAAGATTTTTCCCATGTTTACTGCATAAGGTGAAATGAAGTCACATGTGTACTCTAGCTCTGAGGCATTCTGGGAGGAGTGAGCATTTTAATTGGGCAAAACACAGCCATTGATGATACATGCTGTGACTATGGAAGGATTCTATTAATAAGGAGAAGGGGAACGGGATATCAGGTAGGCCTCTAGCGGTGGCTGTCATGCTCATTAACAACTTTGCAATCAGATCCCAAAAGGCTAAGAAACTGTTAAAGACATTGCTTAAAATAGATGTTCACTAGCTTCAGTGAAATAAAAGATAGTGTATCTCATTGTCTTATGATTTAATGTTCTGAAGTAATCATTTGCTGAAAGCTACAACAATTAATGGTGACAAATTTAGAGGGTGAAGTCACGTCTGTGTTTTTACTCCCTATGTTCCAGCTACCTAGGATTGGGCAAGTTATTTAATATGTCTTGGCCTTTATTTTCTAATTTATAAAATATTCAGGAAAAGGAAAACTGCATCAATGAAATTTTCTACAGTACTGATTACTTCTTTTTTCTAATAATGTAAGTAAACAACAAATGCAAAGTAAAAAGTCTATTGATTTTAATAGATATGATAGGCTTTTTTTCGAGCTGAATAGATATTAAAGAAAGTATAAGTACCCTTTTGCAGCTGAAGAATATTGTAAACTAAATTGCACATTGGCTGAATTTATATGTATGGCAGGTAAAATATTTGTGCACTATCCGATCATCACTTGAAGACAGAATGTAATAATCTTTAATTCTTCTACATGGTAGAAATGTGAAGGTCCTCCTGGTTGCTGCAGTATTTCCAGCCAGTAGCAATATATACTTTCTAAGTGGAGATTAATGAGTAATTATGTCATTTTACACCATCAGTCATGGTGATGGACTGATTCCAGATTGCTACAGTAAGAATGAAGAGGTTGAGTCCCACCCCTTGCTTATTTGTTGAGATTAACTTGATAAAGTGATCACCAAAGTTGAGTCCTCCTACTCTTTCTGAGACTTATACATATAGCTTTATCTGTTTGGTCTTGCAGATATCATTTGCACTCAGGCCAACGGCTGATGTGATGCCAGGCTCAGTGTTCTACGTGGCATTTTCCTAGTACACATAGATATTGGCTCAGGCTGTCAAAGATAAAAAAAAAATAACCAAAAAACATTAAGCATAAGAAACAGCACATGGGGCTGAGTGTGGTGGCTCACACCTGTAATCCCAGAGCTTTGGGAGGCCAAGGCGAGAGACTAGCTTAAGGCCAGGAGTTCAAAACAAGCCTGGGCAACATAGCAGTATTCCATCTCTACAAAACAATTTTAAAAAGAAAAAAGAAAAGAAAAAGCAAATAGCAGGAGTCACATTTCTACACTGTGACTGAACTTCATTAATAACAGCAAATGAGCAGATCGGCTCAAACAACCATGGGAAAAAGAAACTAGACACAAATGGGTGGAAGGAAATACTAGGTAATGCCTAGTAGTGCAAAGTATTTGCATTGTACTAAACTCTTAACTTTTTATTATTTTATTTAATTCTCCCAACTGCCACAGTTATTTCCCTTTTACACATACAAAGTTAATTATTTTGCCCAAGGTCATAGCACCAAACCCAGGCAGTTGATTTTAAAGTCTATGCCTTTAAGTGATATTCTACATTATATCCACCTAGAGATACAAAATAAATTCTAAAAAATAAAACTTCACTAGTGCTGAGTATATATACTTGTTTGAGGAAAACCTTGATAGATTGACCTATCGACATTTATGACTGGAAAATCCCATTGCAGATGCGCACCTGTACACTAGACTTGAAGTTCCAAAGAGATGCCTTTAACAGATATTGTTCACTAATACTCAGATTTATCACGAACATTATGGAAGACATTTAATGGCTACAGTACTCTGAGAGACATGATCTGGGAATATATGTTTCAGGCTGCTGCAGTTCTTCTCAGGTCAAATCATATTTCTTGTGAAGATAGTGCAGTGTTAACTGATAGCGCATCAAACCTGAAGGGACAGTTCAATGGGTTTGTGTGCCGAGCTGGAAAAGAAAGTCAATTTTCATTTGCTTTTAGACCCACATTTTGAATCAGACAATATTAGATACAATGGCAGTCTCAGAAGAGATGGTCTCATGTTTGCCTTTTAAATGTTGGTGCTTCATTTTTAAGACCAAGATACAAGTATGTGAGAAAAAGCACCCAGAGAATACTGAATGGTAATTCTCTCATGATGAATAATATGTCTACCTTAATTGATACTTGAAGAAAAATTGGTAAGTCTCAGCTAAAGCATAGTAACTAAGGGTTGGTTTGTAAAATAAATAAAGAAAAAAGGAAAGGGCTACTATTGCTTTAATAAAGATTTCCTGCCAGTATGTCCTGCTGCAAATTGTAAATGGTGGAAGCACTTCACCTCTAAGCACTGTGAATGGAAATGGAGACCGTTAAGGCAAACTTTAAGATTAAATACTTTCGTTTGTGGTATTTAATTTTCTCTGTATGATGTTTTAAAACAATTAAACATGCATAAGTTATAGTAAATATAAGATCCTTCTTTATCTATGCCTCATTTTGAAGGAAGAAACCTTCCCTTGAGAAGGAAAAGAACGAAGAAAGACAGAGCCTAGGGTACTGTGTATCATGAAATGAAGGGTAGAACAGTTTCTCAGGAGACCAACTGTGGTTCCCTCATTCAAATGACACACGAGAAGACACTGTCATATGTTTAAGTTTGCTTTTATGTAAGGAACTATTTACTGCTATTCTGCTTAAAATGCTGACCCTTAAAATATTTTATAAAGATCTAACATCAATGCAACTTTACCCAGCCAATTATAAAGAAGTAGGCTGATTTTTCTGATATTTTGTACAGACATTTTTAAAAATTTTAATGTAAACTTTGATATTGTAATTATTAATAACACAAAAGGATTAGTTCTCATTTTAAGCAGGGAACTATTTGTGTCCTCTGTACTACGTAAACTCAACATAAGATGCAAGAGAAAACTAACATTATGCTAATAGATAAAACCACACATGATCTGTGGTGGAAGGACTGGAATTGCACTATCACTGAAGTGCAAATGTATATATATATTTAAAATTTTGAAAGCTTACACTCTTCTCAGATTTAGTTTAAAAAAGATTCTAGTTTCATTCTCTCCTTTATTGACTGCTGTTTCTGCTACATGACCAAAAGTAGTTTTCATTGTTCATGTTTGGTTTGTTTTGCTTGTAGGTAAAGCTTATTATAATTAAATACATAGAGCCAAGGAAGGGAAAAATTAACAGTTACATAAGAGAATAAGGAGAAAGTAAGAATGAAGGTCAATATATACTCCAAACATTGATGTTTCTGTCTCCTTCACATACAGATATTGGCCTCGTGTTGTAGCCTTAAACCATCTGATCCAGACAGGTCAAAGCAAGAACTTTTTAAAAAATCTCTCTTCTTTTCAGCAAGTTTTCCCGCTAAGGAAACACATTCTCATCCCTCAAATCACTTGATGTCATACAATAACTTTTAGCTCCTACCCCAAATTGGAAAACAATATTGTGAGGAATAAAATCATTGTAGATTTTGCAGGCAATCCTAAATAATCAGGTGAATTACTTTAGATATAATCATCTCTTAGCTTGGAAATTTGCAGATCGATTTCGTTTATCTATTTGCAGTGCAAACAACTTTAAAATATGCATATTATTTGACATTTTCATATCTTTTGAGTATGAGAGAAAGAAGGTAAAAGAAGAAAGTAGAGAATCTTCTGTCTATATTTAAGTGATATAATTTCAGTTATATTCATGGCATCTCTAGTATTTATCACATAGTTTTCCATGGAAAAATATCATTTTTAAGTCTGGTCTATTGTTTACTTCAAACTGTATAATGTATAGTAAACTATTTATGGATAAGATGAATTACACCGCAGCTTTAATTTTTCAGGTTTACAGCTGTCACTTTTGACACAGAAAATGAAGAGATTTAAAATCCATTTCAGGCATGTAACTATAATTTCATAAAATTTTATGCCCCACAATATATAACATGTGATAAAAGATGTGAAATGCAGAAAATATTCATCATTTACTGCTTCTTCATGACCACAACTTTGGGCCCTTTAAACAGGGATAAATATTGGAGGAACAGTATTCTTTTTCATTGTTGAAAAGCTTCCAAAATAGATTACAGTAAAATTTAAAATAAAACCAGAGAATATGTATTATTGAGACAAAGTCAGGACACCTGAGTTTTGTTCCCAGACTCTGAACCTGTTTGCTGCAATATGCTGGACAAATACTTTAATATCCCAAGGTTTAGCCCCCTCATCTTGATTGCTAAGAAGAAAACGATTATTAATAATGTCAAAGAAGATAATATCTATAAAATAATTCACAGGTCTATAGCAATTATTCAAATAGAAAATATTAATGTCATTATTAATAAACAAATAATCCCATTTCTTTTGATTTACATTTTTCTCTTCAAACATACCCAAGTCAGATAATGACGCTTCTATCTACTAATTTTACTCCATGTTATATTTTTCTGTGTTGCTACTGGAGCTTGAACTTGATGTCATCCTTTCTAATCCTGGCAGCCATCAATTCTCAGTTCCTAATGCTTTCTGGTAGAACTTTTTCCTCATATAAATGCGGTAACACATTTACATATGAAATCCATTTAATGTAATGTATTTTATCTGAAACCATCAGAAAACAAAACTTGTTTTATTTTTAACTGTTTTAAATTTTATAGGAACATAATATTTTGATTTGTGAAACATTAAAAGGCTCCTATAATGAGCCATCTAGCCCAAATAGCAGCAGGTAATTTTATTTGGTGTAATGGAAAGAACCCTGGGCAGAGGATTGGATAACCCAGTTTCTATTCTGATTTCTGTAATTAACTAGCTCTATGATATTGGGGAAATCACTTAGCCTTCCTGATTCTCAATTTCCTCATTTGTGAACTGAAGTAATTGAAACAATGTTCTCTAAGGAACTTCCTAGTTCCAGCGGCCTGATTTTATGCCGACAGAAGCCATGCATGAAGACCATTTGGTTTTCTTTTAAAATCTATACTTTCTTCTTACCAATTTATATTACACTAACATTATTTTTGCAATACCTGATCACAAGTATAATTTGGTTTAGGAGCTACCTATGGCTGGGAGGCAGCTGGCATGGCCAGGGCCGATCCCTTCAGACAAGGAATGTGCAAAGCTCTAGAATGGCCAGCTCAAGAATCGTAGTAGAAATAGTTCTAGTACGAGAAAGACATGGTCTACACTTCAAGCAGGCATTGGAAGAAAAAAAAAAAAAAAAAAAACACGTGTGTGTGAACTTATAAGTACCTGAGCCGACTGCTCAAATATCTTATTATTCTCCTTCTTACGAGAAGGTCAATAAATTTCAAGCTTCATTAGCACCAACGTGTACTCAGAACCAACAAATGTTATGCCGACTACTCAGGGAAGGATTCAAGACATAAAATGGGCGGCAATTTTTATATCTGTAAGCATAGCATGATCACGGAAGCAAAAGTACTCAACATTTTATAAGGCAGTAAATAAAGCCTGTTTTAAACTAAAAATACAGCAGTACTTGTGGGCTGTTTTTTATGCAATCAGCATCAAAACTTGGAATGAAACAAAAATTATGTTGAGCACAAAGTGTTTCCCTCAGAAAAGGATAGGAGAGAGGTTAGCTTGGAGTAGCCAAATAATGGTACCACAAAGTTTCAAGCAGAAGATTTAAATGTGTTCTGTGAATTACAGTGATACCTCCTGTGTGTGCCTATGATTATGAATTGGGAAAGGGGAGTGGGGAGAAACTGAACCCTGGCCCCGCATTTTTCCACAGACATTTAGCATAATGAGGTGGCTGCTAAGCTTTCATTTTCAAAAATCCCCTGTTTTAAAAAATGCTTAGGATGGCTGAGTTGGAGAATACTGGCATGGAGCACAGTAAAACTAATGAATCTATACATTTGTTTAAAATTTAATTAACTTCCATTATTTGAATGGCAGAAAAAGAGGCCTATACCCTGACGCATCAGTAGGAAGTACACACCACGTTTCATTTGCCTTTGCATATCAATTTACATGATGAAAGCTCTGTCCTCTATATTGAGCTCACTACACACTAGATCAACAGCCCAGAATTCCCTCCTTCATAAGTTTGGATTGGCTGACATTTTGTGTCTGGAATTGGTTCCTTCCGGTAGGTTCTTGGTCTCGCTGACTTCAAGCACTAAGCCGTGATGGCGGTGAGTGTTCCAGTTCTTAAACATGGTGTGTCCAGAGTTTGTTCCTTCCCATGTTCAGATGTGTCTGGAGTGTCTTCCTTCTGGTGGGTTCCTGGTCTCACTGACTTCAGGTGTGAAGTGGCAGACCCTCACCGTGAGTGTTACAGCTCATAAAGGTAGTGCAGACCCAAAGAGTGAGCAGCAGCAAGAGCAAAAGAACAAAGCTTCCACAGTGTAGAAGGGGACCCCACTCGGTTGCCGTTGCTGGCTCAGGTGGCCAGCTTTTATTCCCTTATTTGGCCCTGCCCACATCCTGCTGATTGGTCCATTTTACAGAGTGCTGATTGGTCCGCTTTTACAGAGTACTGATTGGTGTGTTTACAAATCTTCAGCTAGACACAGAGTGCTAATTGGTATGTTTACAATCGTTTAGCTGGACAGAGAAGTTCTCCAAGTCTCACCAGACCAGAAGCCCAGCCGGCTTCGCCTCTCAATTTCACTTTGACCTAGTAGAAGAAACAGAGTTGTTTCCAACTGTATAAATGATGAAGCAGTAGCAAAACCTGCTGTACTGACTTTGATGTGGAACAAGGTTTCTCTTCCCAGGTTACCTTTGGGGACGTAATGATGAACTTGTTCCAAATCTGTGAAACTTGAATACAATGAGTATTCAATAAATGCCAGTTGCATGGAAAAGAAAGTAGGAAATTGTGTTTTGGGGGTCACTTAGGCCGAATATTGTTTTTCTTTTTTGTTGTTGTTGTTCTTTAGAGTAACAAAAACAAATTCAGAGTAAGAGATTGATGAGTACATTATATGTGGAAAAGTCAAGAATACTTGTTGGAATTGACATCATGTGGTCAGAACTCCTTTCTTTCTCCTTTTCTTAATTTTCTTACCTCTGTCTCCCTTTGTGTGTAGTCTCTATTTTCTCCATTTTTAGAGGGAACTCTATTACATTGTCCAGTGCACAAGATGAGGTGGGGACCATCTGAGTAATGAAGCAACTACTCTTTTTTCTAAAAAGCTGCCCATGATTATTGGCCAGACCTAAGACTCTTGCTCAGCCTGTGGGTAAGGGACAAAATACAGTAATTACCAATATCACTGTATTCACAGAGAGGATAGGTATCAAAACACTGATAAAACGAAGGGGCAGAAGTGTCAACCAGAAATAGTGGAGAGAGGATACTGGCAGGGAAAAATAAATAAGCAAACAAATTAAAATGTATCAGAGAACTATAGCACATAACCGAGAAATAAAAATTCTCTTTACTCTTAAGGCATGATTTCTTTTTAAGTGAAGTAATGCAAATATTAGATTTCAGTATTTATCTGTACTAGTATTCTATTGCTGCATTTCAAATTTCCATAAACTTAGCAGCTGAAAATAACCCTTATTTATTAACTCACAGTTCTGCAGGCAAAAATTCAGCCCAGTGTGAATGAGTTCTTTGCTCAGGGTCTCACAAGATTGAAACCAAGGTGTCAGCAGGGCTGTGTTCATCTCTTGAGGCTCTTAGGGAAGAAGCAGCTTTGAAGATAATTCATATTGTTGATAGAAGACACTTCCTTGCTCTCTTAAGGTTGAGGTTTCCTTTGTTACTGCCAGCTGTGAGCTGGGGTGTAGGTAGTTCAACTCCTGCAGGTGGCTTCTCTGCATCCACAGCTTTAACACATGTATTTGCTTTCTTCCAAGCTGGCTGGAGCATGTGTTTTGGACTTCCTTTTCTTACACTTGGAAAAAACTTTCTGCTTTACAGGTCTCATGTGATAGGGTTAGGCCCACCCAAATAATCTTATTTGAAGATTAACTGTGTCATATGACATAGCATAAGCATAGTAATAAAATCCATTGTCCTGACAGTCCTGGAGATTATGCAGGATATGGACACTCAGGGGAGAGAAATCTAGGAGTCTGTTGTAGAATACTTCCTACTACTCTGTAGGTTACATTTCAGTCATAATTGAAAATTCAGGTTTGATTTTGATTTAGTTCAGTATTGATAAGCTAAAGTGATATGGTTTGGCTCTATGTCCACCCTCCACCCCCCGCCAATCTCATCTCGAATTGTAATATCCACATGTTGGAGGAGGGGCCTAGTGGGAGGTGATTAGATCATGAGGGCAGATGTCCCCCTCATCGTTCTGATAGTGAGTGAGTTCTCATAAGATCTGATGGTATTAAATTGTGGCACTTCACCCCTGGCTATCTCTCTCTCTCTCTCCTGCCGCCATGTAAGATGTGCCTCGCCTTCTGCCAAGGTTGTAAGTTTTCTGAGGCCTCCCCAGCTGTGCAGAATTGTGAATCAATTAAACTTCTTTTCTTTATAAATTACCCAGTCTCAGGTAATTCTTTACAGCAGAGTGAAAATGGACTAATACATCAAGTTTTATGATGTAAAATAATACACTGAAGTATGTTTGGACCCTGGTTAGTCTTGGAAATTCCATCTATAAGTTCTGTCTGTAACTTACCTTAATAAGAAACCAACGATACATGGAGAAGGAAAAATTGTAAAAACCAGTGGATGATCAGTAAGAAAACTAATTTTTTTTTTTTAATCTCGGAAATAATGCACCTCTATGGTCAATAACATTCATGTGTCAGTTTTAAGAAAATGTTCTACGAACACGTATGCACACACATAATTCCATGGACTCCAAGAATCATTAGGAGAACCTTAATAATAATAATAATAAATTAGTAGCTTCTGAAAAGCAACCAAACTTTAAAAGAAATATTCAACATTTAAGGCTTCAATCAATCTCTACTTAAGCACCTGCTTTCATAATCCTGAAACTCATTTAAAAAAAAAAAAAAAAAAAAAACTTTCTGACCTTTAAAAATGCAACAGCCTGAAATCAATTTATTTCAGTCAGGCATTCAATAGTATATACTTGCTAAAACAGTCAAAGTTCAAGTTATAGCATCTGTGACATCTATTTTTTTCGTTTTTGCATTTTTGCCTTCTTATTTTATTTTTTTCTTTTAAGTTAAAGTCAAAATGGAACTATTATCTCTTTGGCAGTTTCTTGGGAATCCTATTAACCTATTGGGAAATAAGTAAACTCTGAGAATGATTCCTTTCTTAATATGTTTATAATGAGAGCTTTAAAAAAATGATCTCTCACTAACCTGTATTTAGAAACAAGATGTAACTTACTGCATTTCTTACACAGGATAGTTAATATTTATCTTTGGGATTAAGATTACTCATTTTCACACTATGGGGCAGAAAATAAATATTATGTATAAATTATTATGCAAGTAAGATAATATTTATGATACTATTACAAGATATAAGACCATGAAATATTAATTCTTAGCAGTAAATTTGACAAAAAAACTTGACTCATAATGCAAAGAAAACAAGCTAAGTTCTTGTATTTATTTTTTCTGCATTTGTGATATTACACATTCAAATCCATTTGAAGTAGTTACTATAGAATGAGGAAAGGAAATAGAAGACTTCGGTAAGGCGGCTTCATGCTTTAACACACTAAGCAATCCCCACAGTGATGGATGCTACAAAAAATAGGTCACCTTCAAACCACCCTTGAAAATAAGCAGACACTGTAATTTCAGATTGTGTTCTTATGAGCATTGTTAAGAGCATTGAGATATATATACATATATATAAATGTTATATATTTAACAAATTATATATATATTTGTTATATATATAACAAATATATATATAACCTATATATACATATATAACAAGTATATATATATATAAATAAATATATATATTTGGCCTTGTATTTATTTTGCAAAAATTGTGCTTGTCTGAGCACAAGAAAATACCATTTTTTCATTTTTTTCTCTCACATAAAACACATATAAACGTCTTCATACACATGCACAAATCTGTGTAGTTATTAGTTCATTGTGAGAAAGAATGTAGATATTTTAATGACCATTTCTGTTATTAAATGGAGTTACTCTATTACCTTTTTAATATGATGGATTTTATGTCTTTCAAAGCAAATTATGGCACAATGTGCACAACCATAGAAAAATATTTTATTCAAAAAACTGACTCCCTGGGAGCGATTACTAAATTGTGTTTTCTAGTACCTAGTACAATTACTAATGGGCAGTCGAAAGTATTTTTCAATGATACTATTGTTATTAATGCATTCAGGGTAATACAAATCTGGCTTTGCTCAAATTGATGTCACAAAACGAAAACTTGGGTAGTTTATATCTATTGCTAATTCAATTCTCTGAACATAGATTCAGCTTTTTTGGTTTTTTTCTCTCAAGATATTTCAAAAGTTTTTTTTCCTGTTAATGGCATTGTATTATCAAATTAAAAGTGAGATGATTCAGTTTAAATGCTAGTCCCAAAGACACGTGGGGTTAGACAACCTGGTTTAATCTCTGCTCTGAATATTTTTACTTGTGTGTCTTGAGCCAAGTTAGCCTGCCTGTCCCTCAATTTCTGTATCTACAACATGAGAATGCTAATAGAAGGATTGTAATCATAGTGTTTTTCTGAGTATTAAAGTGGGTTTAGACACATAAAGCCATTAGAAAGTTGCCTGGCAAAATATAGAAGCTTGATAGCTTTTTCTACCATCTTATTGAATCCAATCAGTTTTCTCATGCACATTTATATAAGTTAATATAAATAGAAAGGAATATTGCTATACTGGGCTTATTTGGATATGAAGGGAGAGAAATGAAGGAAAACAAACTGTGAAGCCAAATTCTCTACAGTATTCTCCAAATTTATGATATAAATATTATAGTCTACATTTTACATATGAAGACTCTGAGGTATGAAGAAATTCAGTAATTTACACAATAACACAAATGTAATAAGTGATCAGTTTCGGATTCTAACCCACAAATATCTGATGTTCAGGATCATGGATTTTAACTCTTTTTATGTTGTATACACCCTATATGCCAAACAAAAATTCAAACGACAACAACAACAAAATTTAAAGATGGGCTTGCTATATGTGCATGCATTCGTTCCTTTATAAATTCATTAGTTCATTAAACCATTGCTGAGCATGGACCATGTGATCTGTGTTTGATCTGGTGAAAACACAGAAATCACTAAATATGGTATGATTGTGTCTAATTTCATATCCCTGTGAAAAGAAAACTTCGACCTCTAAAGTTAGACCAACTCTGATAAAAATCCACAGCAAATGACAGAAAGAAGGATACAAATTAAATATGAGGTGGTGGAAAAGTGTACAACAGCCAGAGAAAGAATAAGATTACACAAAGGGATTTGATATAAGTGTATCATATTGCTCCATTCTCAAATATTGTGAATTGAACACATCTCTCAACTAATTTAACATCCATTTAAGGGTAAAAGAAAGCCACTGATAGAATTAGTATTATCTAAAACAAATTTCAGTGGAAAAAAAGGATTTTATATTATCTCCACTTTGTAGGGTCATTTCATTCTGGTGCAGGTTTTGCAAAAACAAACCATTGATTTGGAAATCATAAATATATTCTAAATTTTAATATAGTTACTTATGTTAAACATAATGTGTTAAAGTTTTAGCATATTCTTTTTGACTAATCATTAGTTACTTATGTTAAACATAATATGTTACATTTTTGACATATTCTTTTGACTAATTAATCATTTCCTTTTTAAACTCGGAGAGGCAATGGGGGGTACAGAGTGAGACAGGAAGGCAGCCTCTGTAACAACCTGAGGACTCATGGTTGGGGAAAGATGTCATCTACTTTTAGTCAAGAGATAAATGTTTTACCTGCTAATAGGGAAACCCACCCAAAAGCACAGAGAAAAGTCTGGTCAAAACATTGCATTGCATCTAATAAAAACTAATTAACTGGTTTAAAAGCAAAAGATCCCTTGGTACTGCAAAACTCAATCGCTTTCACAATAAATAGATAAACTGCTTTGTGGGAAGAATTTACTAATACATGGAAGAACTTCCATTAGAAACTACATGTTTATTTGATTTCTTAAAACGTATTTAGGCATAATGTGTGTTCTAATTATTTTCATTTCTTGAAGAATATGTATTCTTATACAATTCTTATTGTTGACAACTTTGTGGCTACACTTTTGTCTTTTCTTCTTTCCTTCCTTTCTCTCTATTATGCCTTCTTTTTCCCCTTTTTTCTTCGTCAAAATTCTTAAGCCTTCTAAAGTCAATCCTGTCACAATGAAAATACATTAAAATGGCTATAACGTCCGATCCATGAACTTCAGTGAACTCTAAAGACTCCTCAAATATACGCAGATGTATAGGATTCTTACGTTTCTCCTAATTTCTACTAGAGAACCTGTCTCTTATCTCTTCTTCCCCAGCTGTTCCTTCTATTCACCCCATATTAACCCAAGCATGAAGCACAGCCCTAATATTTGTTAAAAAATCCAAAAGCTTGTGAAGTTTTAATGAAACCCTAGAACTTGGAAAGTATTATATCAAACTACAGAAAGTTGAAAATTTAATGTTTGTCTCCCTCTTCTTAAGGGTCCTCTACTCAACCTTTAGACTGACAAACTCCTCACGGCTTGCCTCAATGTCTTAAATGCTTTTCCCACCGCTTTTTTTGTTCTACTTCCGATTTTCTGTTTTTAGCAAACCTTGATGTTTCTGGGAATGCCCATGGATAGCCTAGATTTCTTCTTATACCCTGAAAATTAGGAAATCAAGCAACTTTTCCTTATTTCTAATCTACTGTAGGCATTTTTTTTTTTTTTTTTTTTTGAGATGGAGTCTCGCTCTGTCGCCCAGGCTGGAGTACAGTGCAGTGATCTCGGCTCAATGCAAGCTCCACCTCCCAGGTTCACGCCATTCTCCTGCCTCAGCCTCCCAAGTAGCTGGGACTACAGGCGTCCGCCACCACACCTAATTTTTGTATTTTTAGTAGAGACGGGTTTTCACTATGTTGGCCGGGTTGGTCTCCAACTCCTGACCTCCAGTGATCCGCCCACCTCAGCCTCCCAAAGTGCTCAGATTACAGACATAAGCCGCAGCGCCAGGCAGGCATTTTTCTGATATTGCAGAGCTATTGTCATATCCTGTAACCAAAGTAACCTGTTGTAGTGTTATATGGGGGGAGGAGGGGAGTAGTTTTCACTACTACGTTTGGAAACATTCTAGTCTCTGTTATTTATTTACCTTTCCAGTTACTAATACAATAGGTGATACAGGTGAGGCAGATATCAATTTTGGATCTATTCCCCTGTATGGTGTATTTTTTTTCTAGCTGTCCTTAGATTATTATTTACATAAGTTTGTCGCAAAGGGCTTTGTGAAGGAGATTTTTTTTCCCTTTCTGATGATTACAAGATCAACTGGGAGAAAAGATGGTAAATAAAACCAATGCACTGAATATTGATCTCTGAAGTAACATGAAAAAGTGATACTGATTCACAAAGAGTTCAGAAACTGCAGATGCTTTTCCCTAGTATGTGTAAACATTTGAGATAAAGTGGCGCTCATCAATATACTTAGATGGCAAAAATGTTTGACTTATTAAAAGAGTCCCATTAAGAACAATCAAGGAGTTTAATCATAGCAACCAAATTTGCACTTCCCTCAGTATCAGTCAGAAATAAATACAGGAAATTTAAGACTCAACTTTTCTGTTCTGATCAAGAGATCCTATTTATGAAGGGAAGATTATGAAAAGTCTCAGTGATGGACAGAAAGCCAAATAGTTGCGATTGTTGATATCTTTGTCTTCTTCAGATGATGCCTTTAGATCCAGCATTATCCCTCTTGTTCTCTCTTGAGAAAGAAGCTGTTTCTGAGACATGCAGCTAACAGTAGAGACCGTGGAACAAAATGCTTGATTCGTAGGTCATTTTGTCTATACTGCAATTAAGAAATGTGAATATATCAAATATTTTTTAAAGTTTTACTCCCAATGTATTACATTTTACTAATAAATCATGTATACTTCGCATGTGTTAAAAATGTAGAATTTTTAGCTAGATTTAGCTTTTTTTGAAATCGTACTTATATTTATCTTATCGTAATTGATTTGATTTTATGTAGCCAGACATTTTATACCATTAAATAAAAGGGTATTTAAAATAAAAAAAATTAAAAAATAAAGGAGAAAATAAAACATAAATAGAAGTGACTATGATAATAAAGACTAACAGAAAGAAATTAGGTTAGATGGAGTTTTACATTCGAGTTCAGATTTGGGTTAAGCTGCTTTATTGGGATTATTAAGTGCATATGCAAATAAATTAGTGTAGGACATATAGTTTTTAAAATTTTATTTTGCACTTGGGACTATTTGAATTCAGTTAAAAAGATTTTATTACTAGATTTTTCATGATAGCATATCAGTGGTTAGTCAAAATTAAATAAAACCTATAAGGCATTTAACATAGTATATAATATTCGATAAGAGCTAATAATGGAAATAATGAAGAAATGCTAACAATAAATTAAGAAATGATATCTAACTATAGTAATGTATTGTTATTAACAACTGATTATTATTGGCATTTATTTTTAAATCTAGACTAAATCACATACATTTATGTAGTATTCTGAAAAATAACTACATTGTTTGAAATGATACATCAAATTTACTGTTATTCAAAATAGAGATTCCATTACTGAAAATTTGATATGAATGGTTTATTGTCTGGAAATTTTTTCCCTAAAACCGAGCTTGTGAAATATGTTTTACAATGTTGGAAAAGTAAGAAAGAAGTTATTTTAACCTTCTCTCATATTTTTCTTCCCAAATCCTGGGTCCAAGCCAGTGACCTCTCCAACTTTTATAGAAGTTCTTATTCACATATTGTGACACTTTGAAATGAGAGATTATAATTGGAGTGAGCTAAAGTTGTAAAATATGACAATCTGAGAAAATAGGATGGCTTTTATATGTAGCCATGAAGGCAATATTCGAGCAAAGTAAGAAAGATAAAAGACAGCATTGGGGGAATAGCATATTTTTTTTTCTATAACAGGATGTATAATATATCCTAGCACATAAGCTTTTTTGCTCTTGAGCATTGCAAATATTCTTTTTTCTTCTGTGAGCTTCTTTGGCATACACTGGGGATGCTTGGGGGCCTTTTTGAGATGGATTTCTGCTCTCTTCAATATAAGGTGAAATATTTCCAGATGATAAATAGCTCTGGGTCTGTTACTCAGGCAGGGGAGTTCTCAAAGCACATTGGGCTGTTAGAGGGAATTCCTAACCTTGTAAAGTGGTATCCCTCTTGCTCATATAGCAACAATTAAACTAGGGAGAACAAATGAGTCACCTCAGGAGAGTAGACTAGCATAGAATGTTAAATATTCTTGGGCATTCGGTGACTTTGAAAAGAGAACAATTTGCATAACATTACTCAGGCAGAGTTATAGATCATCTTTGGGTCTGATCTTCTTTCATCTATAAATACCTTAAGTATAATCTAATGGCTTTGTAGTTAATATAATGGCCACTATGATGTTCTTGAGCTCAGAATAAGTATTAGCATGAAACTAGGCAACTTCAAAAAAGGAAACACTAAGTGTTTTATAAGTTTACCAGGAAGAATCTAGCAAAAGTAGTTTGTGTTGTACATAATAAAATTATTTCAGACAAAGAAACTCACGCAAAATTTTCTTATACTCATATTGGCTGGTTTAAGTGAGTAAATCCTGTGTGTAAGTAAACAAATCAGTGACAATATTACTTTAAATCTCAATCACTAACTACTAAACCATTCTACATCACTTATAATCATAGATTTCAAGAATGGTAATGGGTCTTACCACTTATACGTGATTATTACAACAAAATGTACTGAGAGTATCCTGTATAAGAAACATATCCCTTACATCTGAATGTGTGTATAGATCTATCAGAAGATTCTGTAACTGCTTTTATAAAGATGTCCATATTAAGTAGGACAGACCTTTATGTGATTGCTTTTGTCCATATATGTTTTGAGACTGAAGAAGAGCGATAGTAAAACAGATAGAGCAATAAAGATTTAGACCACATGTCTGGAAGTTTCTCATTCCAGCAGAAAAATTCAAAATGGGGACCTAGTTCCATGACAAAAGATAATGACAAATAAATTGTTAATATTTAAATATGTGATCCGTCTATATTAAGGAAAGTAAAGACACTAATCCAAATGCAATGCTTGAAACTTATGGGGCTTCGTGTTCAGAAAACAAAGAAAGAAAATGCTACAAAGATATTTGGAGAGAGAAGTGGGGGTATTGAATATGACCCATTATTAAGTGATAACAGGCATTTTAATTAATTTTCTTAACTGAAACTGTGACAATGTGGTTATGCAGGAAAAGGTCTTATTTTCAGAAAACTGGTGCTGAAATATTGTGTAGTGAGTTGGTATGATGTTTGTAAATTATTTTCAAATCATCCATATATGAAAGTAAAGCAAATACAACAAAATGTTGAGAATGGTTTAATCTAGATTGTGAGAATATAGATTTTCATCATATAATTACTTCTATTTTTTCTGTTGATTTCAAGTTTTACTTAATATGATTTTGGTACAGGGAAATGGTGTACCTCCCAAACACCTTTAACTCCTCTTCAGAGAGCATCAGTAATTTATAGCAGAGGAACAAAAATAACAACCCGTAATTCTGATGGGAGGGAGTGGCGTAGAGGTCATCAGAGAAGATGGCCAATTTCTGTAACATTGCACATAGGTGAAGGATTGGTGACTGTTTAAACAAGCCCAAAGGAGCTATATGCGAGTGTTTACACTGAGAGGGCTCCAGCAATGAAGGCACAGCTCTGAAAGAGACCCAGATTTGGCAGTGATTCCAAAGAAAAGGCATAAAATTTGCCAGGAAAAACACAGAGATGAACTAATATTCTATATACAGAATTTCTCCTATATGCTTGAGAATGCATAAAATATAGGCATTAATGACCAGAATGTAAACAATAAAGAAATAATTTTTAAAAGACGTTATTCTGTAGGTAACCTGTAAAGAATTAGGACAGTGTTGGGACACCATTGTGCTTAGAACACCCCCAACCGAATATCTGAAAGTAGAAGAAATGATTGATTCTTTTATTCATTCTAGGCCAAAACTCTGATCAATAAATACAACTCAAAAACTCAAAACTTCAAATTAGGTTATTTATTCTTAAATATGAACAGGAAACTCAGAGTTATCTGGTATTCAAGGAAAGCCCGCCTTATGAATGGCAAAGACTCAAATTCAAAACACAAAAGTAATTCTGAAGGAAGAGATAATTTAAAGAAACCACACAAACACAGACTAATGAGAGTTTTCAAAAAGTTTCAAGAAATCCCACAGTTCACAAAATAAGAATATGATTATTTTTAAAATAACACTTAAAGAAATCCTGAAAATGAATATATCTGTGGTATATGTGTGTGGGTATGCACAATTTGTGTGTATTAAATTTGAAAATGAAGAGCATTACCAATAAATAAAGTAATATACATTTATTGCTTTCACACAATAGTCCAAAAGATATGACAATAAATAATATGAGTGAAATATATATGATACATTGAAGATGTGTAAGGTCTAACATTAAACAATTGAATTCTAGGTTAAGAACACGAAAAACCAAGGACAGGAAATAATCGTGGAAATAATCATTGATAAAAATTTCTGAGTGCTGAAGGAAAATAGTTTTCGAATTGAGAAAATTTTCTAAGTGTCCAACCTCAAATAGGAAACATAAACACACATAAACTCGCACCTGGAGGCAATGTTCAAAACACAAACCCAAATAAACACATACTCGGAGACAGTGTTCTAAATAATTAGACTACATTCATAAAAATAAGATTATAAACACTAGAGAAAGAGAAGATGAAAATAAAAAGGGAAAAAAGAGGCTCTTTACCAACAAAGAAAATATAATCAGACGGATACCAAGTCCACTCTTGGTTTCTAGAAGATAATGAATACAATTTCAGATGCAAATGTATAAATTCCTTAAAATGTATGAAAAGAAATGATTTCTAATCTGGAAATATATGCCCAGATGAAAATTAATTATATATGAGGGTAAAATAAAGGCATACCGTGATATGAAAAGACTCAAGTAAAATGTCTAACATACACTCATTATTAAGAAATCATATAAAATTAGTGCAAGCCAACAAAATAGTAAACCAAAGTAAATATAACATCCAAGAAAAAGTGTTTCCAAACCAGGAGATTAATAAAGTAAATTCCAGGTTGACAATTGTGCAGATGTTCTTGTTTGGATTAGCAAGAAAGAAACCTCCCAAAGAGAGGCATGTAGTGAAAAGATGTGATGTCTGACCTCAGAAGTGGGATGAATCTAAGGATATTAAAAAAATACATAAATAAAACCACTAACAGACAAAGATGTTACGGAAAAAAAATCTATATGCAAAATAAAACTGCAGCAATTACATAGGAAATACAAATTATTTGGTAATAAAACAAAAAGGCTTACATTGTTCTAATTAGTGTAAAAAGAGTATTAGTTGTTCTCTTTTTTTAATGTTTTAGCATCAACTGATAGACAAAACTTAGAAACTTATTTATCAGTAGGTGTTCTCAGAGAAAAAGAACAAATTGGATGTTGATATAGCTATAGATGTAGATGTAGATATAGTTATAGATATAGAGATATTTAGAGAGATCTCTCTATATATAGATGTATCCATATATAGAGGATATATATGGATCTCTATATATCTATATATGGATATAGACATATCTCTCTATATAGGTATAGATATCTATATAGATATATAGATATATCTCTCTATATAGGTATATATATATATATCAATATATATCTCTATATATCGATATATAAAGATTTGTTATAAGGAATTGGCTCACACAATTATAAAGGCTGACTAGTCCAAAGGTATGCAGTTGGCAAACTGTAGACCCAGGATAGCTTCTAGTTCTAGTCTAAAGACGGGCAGGCTCAAGACCCAGGAAAAGCCAATGTTTTAATTGAAGTCAAAAGGCAGAAAAAAAATTCCAGTGTCTCAGCTTGAAGGCAGTCAGGCAGGAAGAGATCTCTGTCACTCACGGAGGGGTTTGCCCTTTTGATCTATTCATTCCCACAGCTATTGAATGAGGCCCATCCACATTAGGGAAGGCAATCTATTTTATTCAGTCTACTGATTTAAATACTAATCTCATTCAGAAACACCCACAGAGGCACACCCAGGATAATGCTTGACAAAATCTCTGGGCAACTTATGGCTCAGTCAAATTGACATATAAAATTAACTATCAGGCTTATTTTTAAAAAGAGGCCTGGCCACACAGGGTGTCTCACACCTGTAATCCCAGCACATTCAGAGGCATAGGCAGGTAGATTGCTTGAGCCCAGAAGTTTGAGACCAGCCTGGGTAATATGATGAAACCCCATCTCTACAAATAAAAAAATAGAAAAATTAGCTAAGCATGGTAGTCTGTGCCTGTAATCCCTGCTATTCAGGAGGATTACTTGAGCCCAGGAGGCAGAGGCTGCAGTGAGCTGAGATTGTGCCACTGCACTGTAGCTTGGGCCACAGAACA
This sequence comes from Homo sapiens, assembly GCF_000001405.40. Lineage (NCBI taxonomy): Eukaryota > Metazoa > Chordata > Mammalia > Primates > Hominidae > Homo > Homo sapiens. The sequence continues at coordinate 1,615,566 of NW_025791777.1, forward strand.
AGACCCTTTAAAAAAACAAAAAAAACCTAAGGCCTACTTCAGAATTTTTTAGGACAGATTCTGTATAATACAGATGATGGAAGCTGGTGGCGGACGGGGAGAAGAAATGGAAGGAGATGTAAGGGGAAGTGTAAAGGTGTTAATGCTATGATCCTATGAAATAGAGAAACCACAGATACATTCCAATGTCAAAAAAACAACTGTAAACATTGTATTGAAGGGTGTTAGGGTGATGGTTATTTGTATCTACAACCTACTTTTAAATGCATCAAAAATTAAGCTGGGTTAACAGATAGACAAATGGGTAGAAAATAATAAAACAATTATAAACAGTATGTAAAAAATATATAGACTAGGAGGTAAGTATACAGATGAATACTATATACTTTTATCATGAATTTGAAAATTTCATAATAAAATGTTGGAGGCAAGAAGAAAAAAAAGGATACATTCTATGAGTGAACTGAAATTTAGAAACTCAGATATCACTTAGTGTTTTATTGACAACACAGAGAATAAACGATGGTACAGTTTTACTTGGACAAGGCAAGGGGTATGCAGTTTGGAAGTCAACAAATATTATTCAAATTTATAATTAAAGAACTACTATAACATTTAATCATTTAGCCAATTTTATATATGTATTTTTATAAGAACTGAAACAGAAAGAATGAAAATAGAAACAATTAAAAATGTCCCCAGCTGGCTAGGAAAAGAAAGAGTATGGTTTGGGATTATAAACTCTTCGATTCCCTATGATATTTAGCAATTTAATTGTATTACTTTGATTAAAATGTTTTTGATCAGTTTAAACTGATGTAATGAATTCATATTTATTGATACAGAAAAATATGATATAATCCATCTAAAAAGCAAGTTACAAAACAGTGTACAGTGTACCATAGTACCTATGAACACAATTAGTGAAGTAATTTGCAGAGCTATAATACCAAATCAGAAATTATTTTGGTAATGAATTTATGATTTTCCTCGTTTTCTGATTTTTTCCATGATCTCATATACTTTATTCTCAGAAAACAAAAGACAAAACCCCACACATACACAAAAATAAACGAGTAACTTCTTTACAACCCCAGAGGCTAAGTCAGTGGGAAAAGAGGGAAATGAATGGTTATGAGCATAAACACAGGGACAAATAAAAGAAGTTTGGAGCACAGAGAACAATTCACAAATCAGAAGTCATTTTAAAGGACACAGAAATCATGGTTTTAAATATCATTCCATAAGCAAAGAGAATATTAAAATCATTTTTTGGAAAATTCCTTGAAAAATGTTTTGTAATAACTTTTTTATTTTTTACCCTTCTCATCACAACCATCCTCATTACCTCATAAGAGCCATATGTGGTAACTGTCCAGGGTTGTTCATCTCTGCCTCTCGCCAGGAAATACACTGAATTGCAAGAATTAGGTACTACAAAAAGATGCATATTTTATATTAAGCAGTTACATTTAGAAGTAAACTGGTAACTTGATGGCATTTCTATAGCATATATATATATATATATATATATATATATATATATATATATATGCCATACATATATGTATGTTTTTTTTTTTTTTTTTACTCATGTATAAAACACATATATCCACATATGGGTTAGTAGTAGTATTTGTTGAACACAATTTTTGGTTTTCACACAAATGCACCTTTTCAAAAATCAATTGTTCCTTCTCCCAACATACCCCAGGCTGGCAAATGACAAATGAAAATAAAATCCCTGCTGGAAATAGTGGTATAAAAAGCATTTTCCATTTTATGTGCACTTTTCAACCCAGAGAAAATAAGAAATTTGTTTTATTTTTGTGCAGTAGTTTCTAAAATATAATCGGAGAGATGCTAGTAAACATTTAACTTTAGATTAGCTTTCTCAAAACTTTTAAGCGCTGGAATGAAAGATTTGCTTACATTCTGAAGCTGGTGCAGGGTATCTTTTTTAAGCCTTCTTTGGCATCTCATTTTCACGCACCATCTGAGATGACTTGGAAAACACCAGAAAATAACAACACTACTTCCACAAAACAACTGCCTGGACAGTGCCTATTTCTACAGCCATCATTTATAGAACTCTTTTTCTGGGGAGAAGTTTTATTTTAAGTGTCAATACTAAAAGATGGTATATTTGGAGTTGGCTGCTTCAATCAGTAAATGTAGTCAGCACCGACTCAGAAACAGCTTATTTTTAATAATTGGAAGAAGAAATATTTCTAGCTGTTAGTTTTAAATGGCTACAAAGGAAAGAAATTATTTTTTTGGAATTATTAGCTTGCCGTATGTGTAGATTAAAAAGGCTGTGTAAAAATGGCATCTTGTGATTTTTTTTTACAGTGAACATGACCCAAAACTATGGAAAAGACTATGAGTTCTTTTTATCTTTAGCCCTCCTTCCTTCTTTGTGCAAATGAGACTAAGAACTTCCTTCACATTGTAAGCAAAGCCTGAATCCCATTGCTGACGTATTTGAGAAAGCAGTTTCATCGATAGAGATCAATTTCTGGAATCACTAAAAATTCAACATTTTCTAAGATTCATAAAAATTATTATAGCTTTAGTCTTGACAGTTGCCTTTTTATTTTAAGGAAATTAACCCCAGAAAACACATAAACACGTGCATATACATACATACACACACGCACATTCACCACACAGTTTATGAAGGAATACAGAGTGCCCACTGGATCATTCAACTTCACTGAATGAATATGCAGAAATTTTAAAAAAGTAATTTTGAAAAATTTCAAATGATACTGAAAAATTTGGTATTTTGTTTTAAAAATCTTGACTCATTTATTTATAAAGTGTGTATATAGATAGATACAAGCAGAGAAATATATATCAATATAAATGTGCAGTAAATATGTATTTATATATATTTACCCTTTCAGTTATATATTTACATAACCGAAACATATAAAATTAACAAAGAAGGCAGGGCGCAGTGGCTCATGCCGATAATCCCAGCCCTTTGGGAGGCTGAGGCGGGCGGATTATTTGAGGTAAGGGGTTTGAGACCAGCCTGACCAACATGGTGAAACCCTGTCTCTATCAAAACTACAAAAATTAGCCTGGCATGGTGGCATGCGCCTTGTAGTTCCAGCTGCTCTGGAGGCTGAGGCAGGAGAATTGCTTGAACCCGAGAGGTGGAGGTTGCAGTGAGCCGAGATCACGCCACTGCACTCCAGCCTAGGCAACGAGAGCGATACTCCGACTCAAAAAAAGAGAAGTTATCTCTAGGTAAGATCATGATGGAAATTTTCATCTTACTTTATACCTTTCACTGTTGAAATTATTTTACAGTTGAAGTAAAGGAAATTTTACAATATCCAACAAGAGCCGATGTCATTTATTTAATATCAAAATTAATATTGGAAAAATGTCTATACTTTAGGCTACCACCCATCTGCCTGAATTAATCAGCATTAATACTTAATTTTAAATATTACCTGTCAACGCAGGTCACTGAATGTGATCTCCTTTAAGGTATTATCATGTAATAAACTGCTACAAAAAGTCTAATTCTCTCAAGAGTTTTATAGTCATCCACTTCATTTTCAGGTCAACATTTTAACATATTTTCCCATATTTTTTTCTGAAGCTTTAATCTCTGCAAAGCCCATCTTTAAATTTGAAGGAAAAGGTAGAAGAGTGAGGAGCAGCAGTAATTAACTTGAATTTGGAACTTGGATATAACTAAAGACACATTTTGCTTCTTCATTTTTATGTCAGTTTGCAAAGGAAACAGTTATGATTTTAGCTAAATACAGAAATTTTTTTCTTTTTTCTTTTTAAAATTCTACTTGTATCACATTTCAAAACCTACTCTGAATTTTCACTCAGTTCCCACAATATTACCATAATTCTTTGAGCTGTTGGCAAAATGGATCCATTTTATAAAGTCATGCCTTTTGCATTGAGCTTTTGCCTGTCTCATATATTTAGATAAATTTGAAAGCAAAAGGAATATCCACTGTGTTGAATATCTTTAATAGCATGGTTGAAATTTATAATTTGAAATTCATAAGTTCAAAGAACATTTATCTACTGCTTGATTTTATGCTTGAAACTTCCTATGCTTCACAGCAGTTTTTTTTTAATAGGTGGACAAAAATCCTTCCTCCTATCATTCATAACAATTTTCTTTATACTTAAGTAAAATATACAGAAACTTTTAAAGGAACGTCAAAATCTTGTTCCCTCTTATTGTTGCCACATTATTTTTATTATATTACCCAACCAGGTTTTTATGGTTATGCTTATACTCTCATACAAAACAGTTTTAGAACAAATATTGAAGGAAATGCAGGGTCACAAAATGAATAAGTTTACCTTAATAACATTAATATGAACAATGATATTATTTTATTGAACTTAAAGCACGCTCTTGAGCTTAAGAGCAAAGATGTAGCCACAGTTGAACTTGTATTTATTTGGGCTATAATTACTCATACTAATACACAGGAAGCTTATTTGCAACAGGATATTTATATAATTTAAAATATTTTCAGAGTTTTTGTGTGTGTTGAAATGTTAGGAAAACAGAACTCATTCTTAAGCAATGATTTGCAAAGAGCAGTGCTCATATGCAGATTTTTAAGGCGTAGCCCAAATGGTTAGAAATGCTGCAAAAGTTTAATTTTCTTTTGGGTGATCTGTTGTCTGGAAAAAGCTGTTACATGTAAAAATTTGGATGCTGAAATCAAATGGCTATACCCAAATGAGCAAGAATAGTTTAAAACATTTAAATCAGCATCTGCATAAAAATTAATATAAATATTATTTATGACTGTTATGTATATATAATTATATTATGCATAAGAATATATTTATACAAATATATACTACTAGAAAATTGTATATGATGTACTATTTTATTTTATGTAATATTTTATGTATATATTTATTTACACATAATTTATATACTTTTAAGACTGTGTCCATTTTTCATTTATTCTTGGTCTCCGGTTTGAACAACGCTGCTTTATGGCATTACACTGATAATTCTCTCTACTCTTTAGTTCTCTTCCTTATCGCTTATTCATGTGTATCTTATTCCATGCTATAATGTAATGTACCATACATGTGTTGAATTTTAAAACAAAATTAGCAGAATTTCAATGCTTTCCTATATTACTCAACATAAATATTCTCTATATAGAATGAATTGGAACAAGCTATTTGTGAATCTGAAAGGATAATCAGTGATTCTACCAATCATAGTGGTAAACTCATTCAAACTCAGCCTGTTAAAATGAGACGCTCTGCCCTATATCACTGAAAACCTCTTGATTTGCCAGATTTTTCCCTTCTTTACAAATGAAAATGCTTAGTGTTTTCTGAGTTCCTTTGCACTATCTCCCACTGGATTCAGGTCATTGATTTCATCTTCAGAACACTTGGAAAGTTTATTTTGTGGTGTTTATGAGCTAATTTATTTTTATTGCAATGTTTATTTAAAATGAAACAATAAGTACACTGAAGTTTTGTGCATTTCATTTTATGAAAATGTTATCCCAAAGGGATACAGAAGAACTAAATACAAATTTTCAAAATTTATTGTTTTTTTTTTTTGCCTGCTGCTATATCTGAGGTTGTACTTTTGTTCTGATCTTTGTAACACCTCAAAAAAAAAAATGGGTTAAGAGAAGGATGAACAGAAGAATGGATATGAGACCTATCTGATAAGGCAAGCAGATTAATAGACGAATGGAGGAATGTTTGGATGTATATGTATATGTGTTCATTGCAGTTTTCAACTTTTTGTGTTGAAATTTTTATAAAAAGAAGTTGGAGAAATAAAAAACAAGAAAACAGAACCATAAGATTTTTATTTAACATTTTTGATTAAAGGAATTGTATTGCAAATTATGACTTTTTAATTTGGCAACATCCTTTTAATGGTGTTCTTTCTTTGTCCTTCTCTTTCTCTTCCTCTCTCTCTCCCTCTCTTCCCTAAAGCTCCATTCCGACTTAGACAAGGGAAAGGGCACTGCGAAATACACCCTCTCAGGAGATGGCGCTGGCACCGTTTTTACCATTGATGAAACCACAGGGGACATTCATGCAATAAGGAGCCTAGATAGAGAAGAAAAACCTTTCTACACTCTTCGTGCTCAGGCTGTGGACATAGAAACCAGAAAGCCCCTGGAGCCTGAATCAGAATTCATCATCAAAGTGCAGGATATTAATGATAATGAGCCAAAGTTTTGGGATGGACCTTATGTTGCTACTGTCCCAGAAATGTCTCCTGTGGGTGAGTAGGCAAATCAAAATTCTGTGAGATACAATGAGACCTCTTCAACATTGACTTTTTGCAGGTTGATGTAAACATCTTATCTATCATCTAAAAGAATTATTTTTCAATTCTAGAAAATACAGTTCTTTTCATTTATTTTTGTAACTTTTTTGTTTTTCTTTCTGCTTCATTATGAAGATAACTACAGGAATATATAACATTAGTTCCTGTTTTCCACCCTGTGAATTTACCTGAATTCATAGAATCCTTGCGTGCTTTAAGCAAAAAATGTATTTTGTATTGAAATTGATTCTTATCTCAATTCCAGACACCTATACAGTGCTGGAGACACCTACCCTACACCACGAAATGCCAGACAGTAATTCCTAGATCAAAGTAAATGATCTAAAGCATGCATCACATCTGATCTGGAAGTGGTCCAGAAACAGGTGTGTTGCATCTTCTGTAGCTGTAAATAGAGATTCTGGAAGGGTGATACTGTTTCCTTTTCAGGGTAAATAACCCATACTTGTTATGCCATCAAGCCAAGCAGCAAATGAATAATGTCATGAAAACATTATTAGAACAAATTAACAAATTACAATTACAATTATCAAATTAACAATTAGAATATAGTAGCACCATCATTCTAAAAATTTAAATTTGATATAAATATACATTTCCATATCAGCCTAAATTTACAAAGTCCTATAATATGTAGGATATAAGGTCAATAAGTTAAGAATTCCAGCTTTAAGGACAATTTTAAATTATAATTTTTATTCCTCAGTCACCACTGCTAATCCTTCAATTTATTTCAAAGTAACTTCTGGTTTTTATTACATTTGGAAGATAAAGCAACTTATCACATGTAGGTTACAACTTAAAATTCGTGTATGAGCCATTGCTTATATTTTCTAAATCTGACATGACCCAGGGGGTTTCTACTGCTCCTACCACCACCCAGGACATGCGATGAAGATTGTGCACGTTACCGTGAGGGCAGAAGCAGGTTAGTAGCTATAGGAGCTGTCACATGGATTTACTATAATGCACTTGAAATTGTGTATGTGACCTTATCAGGCATTTAAGGACCATAATCTCTCCTTGACCTAAGAAATCAGCTTGAAGTAATTCACTTAGATTTCAAATTTTAATGTGGATACCCAAGGCTGCAAATCTGTTATTCAGTACCTGCTACACTTTTGGGGTTGCCTCTTTTATGCACTGTTAGAATTGCTAGAAATTTAGAAGTCCAATTGGAAAGAAGCATATCTTGTTAGAAAGTATTCCCAGAAAATGAGGAAGGCTACATTTTAACTGTGTCTTGATTTTACAGGGAGAAAAATAAAGTTAATATTTTGAGGAAAAAATAAGGCTTTTAAGATGACATGCTATATAGTAGACAAATAGTTTAACTCGGTGCCTACTTCATGTACACTGGATGTGTTAACATGAATTTATGACCCTCAGTGACTTTTTATTACCAAAACAGCTTCCTTAAAGCAAACACACACACATGCCTCTACAGTATTGGAAAATTCCGTCTCCTTAGATAAAACAATTAGGATTTTTCTTGGGCCAACTAGAATAATTAGGGCTGCAGAGTTGGAGCCTTTATATAAGGAGTTTGCAGCTCATATCCGAAGAGAGAAATGTATTTCGAAAGTCAAAAGTGTAGTTAAGTGAGAAAGCAGAGTAGTTTCAGCTTTTGCATTTGGAGTGGGTATAATTTACTGTGTTGTCATAAGATACTGGAAAGATCTTTGGAAGAATAGGTTCTTAAAGTGTTTTCTCATGTGCCCTTACTGACATTTCCCATTGGGCCTTCAAGACAACTCCAGTAAATACTTAAATTGATTTTCAGTGCACTGCTTTCTTTCATTTTTATTTATTTATTTTGAGACTGGGTCTTGGTCTGTTGCCCTGGCTGGAGTGCAATGGCCCAATCTTAGCTCACTGAAGCCTTAAATTCCTGGGCTGAAGAGATCCCTCCACCTGAGCCTCCTTAATAGCCAGTCATGTGCCACCCTGCCTAGCTATTTTTTTTTTTTTTTTTTTTTTTTTTTTTACTTTTTGTAGAGAAGGGATCTAGCTATGTTGCCCAGGCTGTTCTCAAGTAGTCCTGGCCTCAAATGATCCCTCCACCTTGGCTTCCCAGAGCACTGGGATTACAGTCATGAGCCACCCTCCTGGCTCCTTTTTTTTTTTATTTTTAATAACAGAAGGGTATTTCTTTTGAATGTGAAATTTTACCACATGGTATGAATTAGTCCAAGTGTTTTTATACTAAATTTACATAATATACACTTTTCAAGTAAGTACAAAGAGGTATAAACACTGCTTATGAATTGAATGTTAAAAAATAAATCTCTATGCATTACTTTTGTCTTTCCCCATAATCTCACGTATACACATAAAACAAAAAACAAGGAGACCCAGTTATAGTTGTGGTATCTGCTGTTTCTGCCTTGAAATTTCCAGCTTACAGCTAAGCAACAACTACTGTGCATCCAGAACTTACATCTATGTTCCTAGAGTACTTGAACCCCATTCTCAAGTGCACCCTTCTTACCAGGTGGAAATAGTTCACTGCTGTAATAATCTAAGAAAACATTATGTTTCTCTCTACTTTTTTTTCTCTCATATAATCTAGGCAATTCTCCCTCTGTATCATTTTCCTGAGAAAACTAAAATAATTTTTAATCAAGACCAGATGGAACTTTGTATGGTATATTGACAGTATACCAATTGTTGTGACGAATCTTACTGCCTGTTGTAGATATCAGTGTTTGAAGTATTCCCTATGAAATAACTTTTCTGTCCCAATAATTGAGAGTGCTGTTTCATTTCCAAAAAAAGGGAAGAATTAATCAATTAAACATACATATAGTGAAATAACCTGTTTTGTAACATAAAACATAAGATGAAGAAATATCGGAACATTGATATGAAGTTTAACAGTAATGGATTATATATCCAGAAATATGAACAAATAAACCTGCAATGAAAATTTACTAATGTTACTAATTTTCACTTGTGTAACATGAACATTACAAAGAACATAGTGTACAAAGGGAGAATGTTGGTGGGTAGGATGAGTCAAGATTTCAGAGGAAAATCAATATTTAAGACTTACAGCACTGTGGAATATATTTAATTTTCCTAAAGTTGAAGAAAATTTCAGTGAATCTATGAATTGTTTAAGAGAAAGGTCACTCCGTTACTGACTTCTGCTACATCTAATATTCCAGGGAAGTAATATTTAGAGATAAAAAGCTTTTACTCTGACCTCCGGAAATTACTTAATGATCCAGATACTCCCAAAGTCAAAGCAAATCCTTGGAGACAAGTTTGGACTTTATGAATGTGGACTTAATTCTTTAAGATCACTAGAGCAACAATAAATTACAGGAATGTACCCTCTTTATATCTGATGATTATGCATAAGTGGGGTGTGCAGTTTTAAGTTACTTTTCCTACAGTGCTGACAGGTTTAGAGTGTTAAATCCATACTCAACTTGTATTATCTTCCTCTGCTTGAGCTATGCCACCTTGAGTCAGCTGATTTGACTATTTATAATTAGATACCTAACCTATGATATGATATAGTAGATGTCAATAGTGACTCATGATTTATGTAGTAAGTCTTACCATTTTCTAAGCAGTAGTCAGGTGCCATGTGATCTAACTAAAGATTTGTATTTCTTATTTTACTTAACAATTACAGTAACCCCAATGCAGTATTATTCACTGTTGGATTTTTTTTAATGTGAAAACTTAATAACCCCTGTGGATAAGAAAGTAAGAATGATTCTTAGGTGCTTTAGGACCAAATTAATCAGAATTTAATATACCACTTTGTCTAGGTGTCATGGCGGCTAAAATATCTTTGAGAAAGTTAAACTTAGCTTTCAATCTCAGATGATCTACTTAAGAATTTGGAAAGTTTATATTATATTATTTGAGAATGGGGATTCTTGCTTAAACGAAACCTGAAGGACGGGCATCTTTCATTCAATATCTTAAAAAGAAAGTTTAGCTGACATTTAAATAAGAAAAGATACACCTAAAATAAAGTAGAACACTGGTTTAATAAAAATAGTGAACAGGTACTCCCTTGCCTTTCTATTTTTCTCTCAACTCTATTTTATTTTACCTGAAGTTTGGGGAGAAATGCTAAGATGAAATTTTTGGTGGAGTCTTTCAGAGGTTATTTAACCAGAGACTATTTTCTTTTTTCTTTTTTTTTTGAGATGGAGTCTTGCTCTATTGCCCAGGCTGGAGTGTAGTGGTGCGGTCTTGGCTCACTGCAACCTCTGCCTTCCAGGTTCAAGTGATTCTCCTGCCTCAGCTTCTCGAGTAACTGGGATTACCGGTGTGCACCACCGCACTCAGCTAATTTTTGTATTTTTAGAAGAGATGGGGTTTTGCCACATTGGCCAGGCTGGTCTCGAACTCCTGACCTCAAGTGATTTGCCTGCCTCGGCCTCCCAAAGTGTTGGTGTTAAGGACATGAGCCACAGTGTCCAGCCAACCAGAGACTACTTGTTTCGTGGCCATATTTAAACGGTCTAAGAAGGAAAAGTGAAGACTGTGTCTGTACTTTACATTAATGAACTATTACAATTTAGAAACATATATAAGTCTCCACACTTCCTTATTTTCACAAAAATGCCATAGAGAGACAAATTGAAACATAAAAAACTAGATATATTCTCTCATCCCATGAGCCAGCCATGGAAACAGAGAGCAGCTCAATTAGTAGCAGAGGAACAGGTGAATTATCATCCACTTCTATCTATGCCCTAAAAGCAGAGTTTTCTCAGAAGCTTGAAGACAGAATGTTGACTATTTATTTTCCACACATAAAGACATTCTCCTTGTGCAATCAAACTACAATGTTTAAAATCAGGAAATTTGCATTAATGTATTATTATAATCTAATCCTTCAGCCCTATTCAAGCATTAGCACTTGTCTCAATAGTGTCTTATATAACAAAAAGTTCAAGTTCAAAATCAAACATTGTATTAAAATGTTAGGTCTGTTTAGTTTCCTTTAATCTGAAACAGGTTCATATTTTTTCTTGGTTTCCGTGACTTTAATATTTTTGAAGATTTCTGCCTAGTTATTTTTTAGAATGGCTCTCCCATCTTGAGTATGTGTGATGTTTCCTCATGTATGAATGAAGCATATACATCTTTGTCAGAAATATCCCAGAAGCAATTCTGTACTCTCCTCATTATGTTCTGTTGGGTGGGCCATGGTTTTTGATTTGTCTCATTACTGATGATGGTTACTTTTATTATTTGATAAAGGTTGTATATAACTTATCTATTATGGCATAATACATTAGCTAAAACCTTAGCGGTGTAAAACAGCAGATACTTACGTTTCTCATAGGAATGGCTCTATTGAGTACCTCTGTCTCAAGGCTTCTCAAGAGTTTGTAGCTACCTTGTTGGCTGGGGTTGCGGTCTGATCTAAAGGCTTAGTTAGGGGGTGGTAGAAATCTTCCATATGTTCTTTGCTACGTGGACCTCACAGGCCTACATCATAACGTGGCAGCTGGCTTTCCTCAGAATGAACTACCCAAAAGAGAGCTAGACAGAGAGAAAACCCTCTGATTGAAGCCATAGTCTATTTATAACCTAATCTTGAAAGTGACATCACATCCCATCTGCCATATTATACAAGTAAGTGCAACGCGAATACAAGAAAGCCGGGATCATTGAGGGCTCTCCTACAGTCTACCTACCACTCTCTATACTCTGGCTCTCAATGATTCATGTTGCTCTCTCATGCAATATATCCTCATCCCCTTCTGAGGACCCCAAAATTTTCAACCCACTATAGCATCAGCTCAAAGTCCAGAAGCTTTTCATCTAAATCAAGTCCAGATGGGGAAGTGATTTTGGGTTTAATTCTTTTTTTTTTTTTCTTTTAGATTTTTTTACTTTTAGTTTTGGAGTACCTGTGCAGGATGTGCAGGTTTGTTACATTGATAAACATGTGCCAGGGTGGTTTGCTGCACCTATCAACCCATCACATAGGTATTAAGCCCAGCATGCATTAGTTATTTTTTCTAATGCTCCCCATCCCTCCCCTCCACCCCCCATCAAGCCCCAGTGTGTATTGTTCTCCACCCTGTGTCCATGTGTTCTTACCGTTCAGCTCCCACTTCTAAGAGACAACATGTGGTGTTTGGTTTTCTGTTCCTGCGTTACTTTGCTAAGGATAATGGCTTCCAGCTTCATCCATGTCCCTGCAGAGGACATGATCTCATTTCCTTTTTGTGGCGGCATAGTATTTCATGGTGTATATGTACCACATTTTCTTCATCCAGCTTTGTGATACTAAAGAGGCCAGTTACTTACTACACATTCACCAAAAATACAGTGGCAAAACAGGAATAATGTCTCTAGACATTCCTGTTGAAAAAAATGGGAAAATGCACAGACTAAAAGAATGATTGGTCCACCACATTTTAAAATCCCAGTGGTAAATGTTGCAAGTCATTTGATTATATTCAACGCCTGTGAATAATTATTCATGCCTCTCATCTCTGACCTCTAGGCTCTTCGTTCTGCCTTTTGAGTTATTCTTTTTTTTTTTTTCCATGAAATACAGCTGGTACTTGCAATAGTACTTGGGTGTTGAACTTGTTAAGAGTGCATATCCTTTTTTTCAGATCCATCTATCATTTCCTAGTTGTATGTGGTTGTGTGGGTTATTTCTCCTCTTTTACATTGATTTTCTCACCTGCAAGTGAATAATAGTAACACTTTATGAGCAGGGTTATTGCAAGTAGCAAGGAGAAAATATATATTTACCATTTGCCACAATCCCTGGGGAAGTGCAGTCAATACATTGGAAAGGGTCCTCATAAGAGTTTGATGATCATTCTCAGAAATCTAGCCAGAGAAAGTCTAAATGGTAAAGGTTCCAGCTCATTATCTTCTTCCCTTTTCTCAAGTTTTCTCTCCATCTGACATGTGAGCTCAGTATTTACCATTGCCCTTTCTACAAATTTAACCAAGTTTATTTAAAAACATAATGACCTTCTATCCCAATTTACATTTTCTTTGGTGTAGAGGACGCCTTTACCTTGATGTGTGGAGACAAGCCGTTGATTTGTAAGAAACACCAATTATCAGCTTCCACTTGTGCTTCACAATCTGCTGAGTCGCTTTAACACTTTTGATGAAATTGAGCAAGGCCTTGTGATCTCTCCTGTGCCAGCCGTGAAGTGTCCACTGCACGCAGCTTGGCAGAACTATTTTCAGGGCCATAGGATGTTATGGCTGTGTGGGCAGGGAGCATTTTATTCGTCTGTTTGATTCCTATGTTTTTATTAGTGGTGCAATTGCAAAGGTAATGCTATTGACACTTTTTGTGTAGCCTTGAGAGAAGAGTATGAATTGTTTTAGTAGCAGCACAGCGTGTCCCTAAATATAAATCATGCTGTACTGATAGTTACTTTAGCAGCCACTGATCAGCAATAAATGTTAAAAATTAACAAGAAGTTTCTTTTTTTCGAAACCGCCAAATGACTCTAAGCATTAAATATATTTTAGCCGGAGTTGCTTCTCGGCCACAGAGTGGTTCACAACATTAAACATATTTTCAAAGTATTACTCCTTCCCCAGCCTCCAAGTGGTTGTAAACATTAAATATGTCTTATAAAAACTGCTTTGCCAGCTACTGGCAAGACAGCTATGAACATCATTTTTCTTTAAAGTTGCCTTCCAGCTGCGGGACTATTTTTCCTTATTTGCTCTATTCTATTTATATTTTGTACACAAAAGCAGGCAAGAGGCTACATTGGCCCAATTGTCTCTGGCTTTATGATAAGTGATCGTGGGAGAGCAGTTGCACCTCCGTAAAACCCTGCTGGCCACAGGAGCTTGCTGAAGTTCAATCACTGATACTGAATATTTCATATAGATGTCAGCTGTGTCTTCCAAAATAATTTTTGTTTTTCATTGTGCAATGTGTTGAGGCATAAAGATGGGCATGCATTAACATCAGCATTAAGAAAAATAACTTGAAGCAACCAGACACTGATGAATTATACCCACTGATTCAGGTGAAAATATTCCGTGAAGAGAACAGACTCAAATGGCAGGACTAGTATGTTAATGAGGTCTTTAACCCAAACATGATGAAAGACTTGGAACCTCTGTCTGGAAATCATCCAGTCTGACAACTGCATGCGATTCAAAAAGAGTGAAGAGTATGCTATTACATAAAGGTCTATCCAGGACTTAGAGCAGGAAATCTTTTCATTTTAACCAAATTCACAGTGAAAATAACGTGTGTCCCCTGAGTGAATTGAAAAATAAATTAGCTCTATCATCTCAGGCACAGTAATTCATCATCAGGCCAAATAATTAATTACTCAGGAAGGCTTTGATTTCTATGGGAGCCAAGTGTTCTCCAAATTGTGTAGTACTGTATCTTGCCAAATGTTTTATTTTAGGTGTATGTTCAACAGGTTCCAATATTCATCAATACCTACGTGACAGGCACTATTTTAGGTACTGGAGCTAGAACTTGAGCAAAAAAGACAAAAAGTCCTCCTCTCAGGAAGCTTTTACTCCAAAGGCCTCCTGCAGGGGCAGCAAGCTAAACTCTGTGAGCTAAATTCAACATATCATCTGTTTTTATTGGAACAGTTACACTTATTCATTTCTGTGTTGTCTATGGCTGCTTTCACACCACAATGGAAGAGCTGGCAACAGAGACCATATGGCCTGCAAAGACTAAAATATTTACTATCTGCTCCTTCACAGAAAAGTATGTTGACCCATTACATAGTGGATTGAGTTTGAGAGAGGAGATTAAGGTAAGGCCAACATTTTAAATCGACCTATGAGGAAAAAGTGTTTTTTTTCTCCCTAAAAATTACCTCTTCCAAAAGAAAACAAAACACAAAAAAACATAAAAATAAAAAGAAAGAAAATGGCAAGACCCAAGGTAAAATGAAGGGTAAAAGTGAGCACCACACTAATACATATGTATCAGCGTGAAATCAGATGCTGCCATTTAGTTCCTGCTGAAAGTGTTGGTTTGGCTTTATTAAAATAACTTAAACACAGTCTTTCAATGTTATAGACTCATGGTAAAGGTTTCTTTTTCCTTTTGTGAATTTTTAAAAATTTCTCTGCAAAAATTATTCCTCACACAATTATGTAACTTTATATTTTCGATTAAAACTAAAACTAAAAATGTTGAAAGAACAACTCGATATTGGATTAAAATATTCATTTTCCATCTTCATTCTCAGGATTCATATTTGGTTGCCTCATTGCGATATAAGTATGTTGAAAAAAATGGAAAATTGCTGAAAGCAAAAATTTTAAAACTCACCAGTATTAATAATTATCACCAAATAACTATTACAGAAAACTTCCTCAGAAAGTAAAATTAGAGTGAAGGTATCACAGGTTGGCACTATTTTCATTCCCGACCAAGAAACTGACACCTGAAAATTAAAAAAAAAAAAAATCAGAGTCTACAGTTTTACAAATAATTAACAAAATGAACATCAAAATAGGGTGCAATTTGTTTAATTGGCAAAGGCACACAACGAAAAAGAAATATGTCAATTAAACTGTCAACCATGTTAATTTTGCCTCTGAGAAAAACATTGTAATGGGATAATTTCACGAAATGCTTTGATGACAAGAAAATGCCAAAATATGATTAGCTACTTCAAAATTCAGCTGAAACAAGAAAGCAATTGGTGGCAGCCAGAATAACCAAAGGTCTTTTTTTTAATATACCTTTTTCTTTCCGTCTCTTTTTGCCTGTGTTTAATCAACAGCGTACATTTTGTTTGACAGTGAAATGATTCATAATGAAAACACTGGCATCACAAAAACTTAGCAGAAACTTTGCTATAAGATTAGAGTATACACTTCTATTTTCCCCAAACTCTTTAAAAATATAATTACTATTTCTGAAAGAATTTGTTATCTTTATGAAATAATGTATTTTTCTTACTAGCATTAAGTGCTTATTTAGCTAAAAGCCAGAATTAGAAGCAATTCACTCATATGAGTATGTTTATATTTATATTGTCAAATATATTTACTTAGAATTTAAACCAAGATATATTTTATTTATTGTTCTCATCACTGCCTGTTAGTCAGAATGGATATTTTAAATTTTACCAGGTCATGTAAATTTTACTACCTATATTTCTTATTCCTGTTTGTTTAGAAAAATAATCTAGTCTATACCTAAGCTAACAAATAATCCTAAACATTGAAAATACAAACATGAGTATGAAGAATTCACTTTCTAATAAGTTTCAGCTTTTTACAAATGGCTGCTTAAATATAATGCATAAATATGACGTATTTTTAAAAATACATCTTGTTTATGCATTACTTGAACCATAACTAATCCCCATTTCCAGTCAAAAAGAACACTGTCTACATATGTTAATCTCTAATACAACAAAAGCAGGCTTAGCTTAATGGGAAACTTATTAGAGTAAAATAGTTCTTTTTATTTTTTATTTTATTTTATTATTACAATAAGAAGATTATAATTTGGTAACTAGCAGGAGAAGAAAGACTTCCAAAGATTATTTTATGGGTCCATGTATTTGCTTTTCCTGAGGGTAACTAGTGCTAATTCTAGAAAGGCAGAATGCTGTAGGAAAAACAAAATAAGCCCTGGAGTACAAAAGATTTGGATTCAAACTTTGAAGAAGGATGGGGAAGTGTTTAGGAAAGTGCTTCCCTGTGTAAAACTTAGCTGGTAAGTACCATATTTCACTGAAATTGCTGTTATAATAATTGAAACAGATTATTATTGGAAAAACAACATCAGCAAAACTAAAACCTAGATGAGTTTAAATAAGTGCCAGCCATTTTTCTCCTGTGGGGATTTAGAGTTGAAGTGGGTATCTTCGATTACTTTTCTTTATCCTCATTCTTATTCTTATAATTTTTCCTAATAAGTCACCTAAGAAGGGCATTTAAATAAGTGCTAGCCTTTTTTCTCCTAGGGGGATTTAGAGTTGAAGTGGATGTCTTCAATTACTTTTCTTCTCTATTCTCGTTCTTATTCTTATAATTTTTCCTAATAAGTCACCTAAGAAGGGGATTCTAGAAACATCTCTTTCCAAGAATACATATTGTTTTAAGAAATATCAGTTACCCCAAATACTTGAATAGAAACTAGGAAAACAGGAGAGGGAGATTATAGGTGTAAACAAGGAATTACTGTGCAGTAATATGTGTAGTGGACGTGAAAAGTAATGACTTAACAGTTTGAATACACAAAGATGGACCAAACAAATACATTTATTTCTCCTTTATTCCAAATTGCCATTGAAATAGGAAAATATAGTACTTATTAAAATAACTATGGAAAGTTGAGAAGAATTCTACCAACAGACTAAAGAGTAAGCAATTTCTGAAGGACATAAGTCATATCAGAGGCACTTTAGTCTTTGGCCATAATAGAATTATTGGAGGGACTTGCCTTTTCACTATAAACAATGATAAAACTGGGCAACATATATGAGGAACCAGATTTTATGCATCAAACAAGAAGTACAAGTTTTTCATACTCAAGAGAGAAGAAAGCTGTGAGGTAAGTACCACATTTAACCAGAGAATGTGACTAGGGGCACTTTTTCTCCCATTAAACAAGGAGGCAGACTCTAAAAATAATGAGTTTAGAGGAAGAAATTAAAGCTTAAAGCTCTCATTTTGTAGGTTGTCTGCTTATTTGTTGATAATTTCTTTTGCTATGCAGAAGCTCTTAGTTTAATTAGGTTCCAAAAAGAGGTAGGGGTAGAGGGACAAGAGCCAAGGAACTTCCTGTTAGGTATTCAGTTCACTACCTGGGTGACAGGATCAGTGGAAGCCCAAACAGTAGCAGCAAGCAATATAACTTTGTAACAAACCTGCACATATACCCCCTGAATCTAAAATTACAATTAAATCTCTATCTATATCATCTCTCTCTCTCTCTATCTATCTATCTATCGATATTTGTAAATAGCTTACACTTGCTTAAGTGGTTGTTATTTAAGAGCTGCTGAAGTGGCTGAAATTTGTATAGGAAAGGAAAAAGAGGCATGGGGTAGGCCTACAGAAGCCAGAATAAGTATTTGGCACCAATTTCGTCAAAAGCTGCTCTATACCTGAGCAGGGTTAACATCTGCAAGACCTGCTGAAAGCAGATACTGTGGGAATAAGATATCAGTAGTAACAGGACAAGGAGATGTTTGGGTTACTGACTAGCCACAGGGAAGATATTTTACGGAATATTCCAGGCATTAAGAACAAGGACTATTTCTTTCAGTAAAGACTATGTCCTATCTTTAAGAACAAAAATGAAAGAGATTTTCATTAACAAATAATGAAACCAGGCATGGCAGATCAAAAGGATCTGGAAGCCACTTAACAGCTTTCAAAGGACTATCTTAGGGCCTTTTACAAGAAGACAACGTCTAGATTTTCTACAGTGTATTAGTCAAAAATACAAGTTACGCAAAGAAGCAGGAAAATTTAATAAATAATCAAGGGGAAAAAAGCAGTCAATAGAACATACATCATAATGACCCAGGCATTGAAATCAACAGATATATATTATGAATATGTCCTTAGACTATGGAGATATTGTCACAATGATAGAACGGAAAAGGTAATTTTGAGAAATGAACATTGTTGAAGTAACAAGTGCAAAATATACAATGAAAGAGTCACTGGCAGGGTATACTCTCAGATTTCAGCTATCTGAAAAGCAGACAAATAACCTTGAAAACCATTTTTGAATTTATCTAATCTCAAACAAAAGAGGAAAATGATTAAAATAAGAGATTGAATGACATGGGATATCAAGCCATCAAACCTATACACAAATGAAGTCTCAAAAGGATGAGTCAGAAAATGGGAAAGAAAAAATATATTTGAAGAAATAATTGCCAGTGTTTTCAAATTTTGATGAAAAATTTCAATGCAGAGATCCAAGAACATCGAATCAACAAGAACACATGTATGAAGGGTATAAAGCCAATAGCATAATTAAAATGAAATATTGAAAAATATCCATTTACTCTAAGGAAGGTAACACTGAACCGGTGAAGAAAGAAATATCAACAACCAAGGGAAGAGAACAACACCCAAATAAGAAAATAGTAGGCAAATAGTAACATGGTAGATTTAACAACACTGACATCACTGATTAAATGTAAATGGATTGAACATTTATATTAGTTTCCTAGGGTTATATAACAAAGTACCATAAACTAGGTGCCTCAAGCAACAAAAATGTATTATCTCAAGTCCTGAAGGCTAGAAGTCTGAATTCAAGGTACTGGTTCCTTCTAAAGGCTGTGAAGAAGAATCTGTTCTAGACATCTCTCCGTGGCTTTTAGATGGCTTTCTTCATGTTCATATGTTGTGCTTTCTGGTGGCATTTTTGTGTCCAAATTTCCCCCTTTCATAAGGCCACCAGTCACATTGGATTACAGGCCACTCTAATGATCCCATTTTGACTTGATTACATCTATAAAGATCCTATCTTTCAATAAGGTTGCATCCTTAATTACTGGGGTAAGGACTTCAACGTATGTTTTTTTTGGCAGACAATTCAACCCATAACACACTTAAATTAAGAGCTAGCAATTTTGAGACTGGATTTAAAAAGGACAAAACTATATGCTCTGTATAATGAATGCATTTTTTTTTTGAGATGGAGTCATAAAATTGGTTGAAAATGAAAGGAAGTAAAACTGATGTAGCTGGCTAATACCAGAGAAAGTAGGATTCAAAATAAGCTGAAATATCAGAGATGGAATGATAAAAGGTTAAGCTCATTAGCAATGCATTATAATTCTCAATGTTTATACAACTGATAACAGAGTGTCAAAATGCATGAAGTAAAAACAGACAGAACTAAACAGAGAAATAGACTTTCACTCATAGTTGAAGATTTTAATCATCGGCTCAAAATAAACAATAGATGAACAAATAAAAATTAGTAAGGATTTGGAAGATTCTAATAATACTATCAACTAATGTAGTCTAATTTCAAGTTTTAGAACACTACACAAAAAATTTCATGAAAATATTTTTATCAAATTTACATGGAATGTTTACGAAGGACTGTGTAGTCTCGGTCATTAAATAAGTCTCAATAATTTGCAAAAGATTAAAAATTATCTTCAGAGGTGA